>NC_000010.11:3494848-3646363 GCF_000001405.40 Homo sapiens
GAGAGCCTGCGCCATGGTGGTCACGAGACAGAGGAGAGCAGAGACATCCCAGCGGCATAAGCCTGAGACCCCAGGCAGGGCATCAGCTCTCCGAGCCTCAGGGGCCTTCCCTTTGAGGACATTAGCAAAGGCGTGCTGGTCCTCAGCACTAAGCTCACATCCAGTGGACGCTGTTCACTGCCATCAGGGTGTGTGCATTCAGCGTGGCTGGCAGGAGAATGACTCCTTAATACTCTGCCGATTACGCTACTTACTTATTTGTATTATTTATTTTTTGAGACGGAGTCTAGCTCTGTCACCCAGGCTGGAGTGAGTAGCACGATCTCAGCTCACTGCAACCTCCATCACCCTGGTTCAAGCAATTATCCTGCCTCCACCTCCTAAAGGAGCTGGGACTACAGGTGCGCGCCACCACACCAGGCTAATTTTTGTATTTTTAGTAGAGAAGGGATTTCACCATGTTGGCCAGGCTGATCTCAACCTCCTGACCTCGGGTGATCCTCTCGCCTTGGCCTCCTAAAATGCTGGGATTACAGCCGTGAGCCACAGTGCCTGGCCCAATTACTCTCGAGTAAAAGAACAGTATAGATGTGACTCACTTACAAATCCACATACATACATCTGTTTAGACTCAAAACACGTGGGACTACATTTACTCTCTGCTATTTTGGGAACTCAGCAGGGAATTTGCCTAAGAAAAAGTTTACACCCTCAGGCCAGAAAGGCAACTGCGCTCAACCCAGAGTCCTGTAAATTAATTTGAAGTCTTTTGGGAATAATGCTGAAACCAAAACCCAAGAGTTTCCCCTTTTCCCTTTTGGAAAATCAAGGAGAAATGAGAAAAAAGAAAAATTGTAAAGACCAAGCATTAGAAATAAAATCCCTTGACTTGGACCCAAGATTAGAAAAGAAGTTAAAAGAACATACCCTTCCTTTATCTCTCTGCGCATGTGTAGGGTATAGAAGCAATAATCTTATTGTTACAAAATACAGACAGTAAAACTCGAATTAAATGGAGTGTTTGGGCAAATCATTACCCCGGACAGCTGAGGCTTTCCAATTTGAAGACAAAGGTAATACCCTCTAAGCACCATCATTTAAAATCAACAAATTTTTAATTATAAATTTTACATAATCCTTCTTCTATGTATTTTTACTGTCAGTTTTGTTTTATTTCTCTGATTATAAAAGCCACATGTGGTTAACACCAAGCAGGTTCATTTAGTAACGTCTAATAAAGAAAACAAAAAAATTACTCTTCATCCCATAACCCAGAAATAACCACTCTTCATGTTGTATCTCACCTTTGGGAAGAGCATTCTGAACCCCGTTCCTGTACCCTGGGGGGAGTCGGAGGTGTGATTCACAGCTCCTTGGAGCTCTCAGCCCTGTGGGGCATGCAGATGACAAAGCAGGATAAACGCTATGAAGACCTGTCCTGAGTGTTAGGAATGAGACATCCTCCCATTCAGGTGGAAGATAAAGGGCAGAAGAGAGAGGCATTTCCAGAGAGAACAGCCTGGAGGGTTTCAGGTAAAACAGCACCTGAGCGGAGCCTCAGAAGTGGGGAGAGAGAAAGGAGGTTTCCAGGCAGAGTAAGCATCGAAGTCCCAGCTCAGCCCCGTGTCCAGCGCTTACTGGGTGAACTGGGGAGAGGCAAGGCTGGAGCTTCCAGGTGTGGGTGGCTACAGGTCAGATCTTAGAAGTTGTTGCAGATCTGGGCAAGAAATTCACTTTTTTTTTCCTTTTTCTGAGGAAATAATGTGAAGCCAGTAAATGTTAAACAGATAACTAAAATGAACGCAGGTGTAGTTTAAGGACCTGAGTAATGATTTGATTGAGATAGAGGAATCCAGGAAAGGAAGGAGAGGGAGATGCGTAGAGGCTCAAAGGTTTGGTTCCTCCCTGTGGAACATCCAAGATTGTAAGGCACTTGGTTAGCAGTGCTGTGCTGGGGTGTTGAGGGTCTCAAGCTCAGGGAAGAGGGGTGGAACAGAGATACTTATTTGTGAGATATTAGCGTGACTGGATCCTTGATTTAGTCATCTCTGCCAAGTTCCTTTTACCAGGTAAAAGAACATTTTTGCAGGTTCTTTGGGTTAGGAAGCAGAGAGTATCATGACCATTGTTTTGCAAATCAATTTGAAATGTTAGATGGCATGAGCACATTCCTTGAAAAATACCACTAATTCCAGAACTAAAACAAGAAGTACAAAATCTTTATAACTCCATTTTTATGGATGGAATTGAACTTGTAATTTGAAACATTCTCAATAAGAAAAGTCAAGTCCAGAGGACTGAATCATTCAATCACTAAAAACACTGCAGGGAGAGCTGACACTAACCATCCATGAACTCAACCAGAAAATGGCAAAGGCAGGAACGCTTCGGACTCTCTGCATGAGGCCAGCGCAATCTTAATAACAAAACTTCACAAAGACATTGTAAGATAGGAAAATTACGGGCAGATTATTCTCATAAGCAGAGATACAAAACTCCTAGACGAAATATTAACAAACCAAATCTGTGGCATACAAAAAGAATTATACATTACAACCAAGTTGGGTTTATTCTATAAATGTGTGCCAAGATTTAAAATTCAAACAATGTGATTTATTATATTACCATTAAAACTCACAGGAGCATCTCAGTAGACACAAAATGAGCACTTGATATTTTCAACACCCATTCAAAATAAAATTGGTAGCAAACTACAGAGAGAGGTTTTGTTTATCTGAAAAAGGGTATCTCAAGAAAACCCTACAGAGGTTATCATACTTGATAATAAAACTTCGAAAACTTACTTTGTTTGTTGTTGGAAAGACCACAGCGTCTACTACAACTTCTACACGATAGTACACGGGATGTTCTCTTCACTGCAATAAGGCAAACAAAGGAAAAGTCGTGAGAATTGGAAAGATAAAGTAAAACTGTCATTTTGCATTATCAGCATGATTGTGTAGATAGAAAATATATTCGGATATACAGATCAACTATTAGAATAAGTCAGTGAGTTTAACAGCATTACCGATGAAAGGCTAATGTGAGAAATCAGGTGTGTTTCCATATACTTTAATGAACTGTGTAAAAATTTTATTTAAAGTGAAAACTTTTACAGTAGCAGAAAAAATAAAATTTCTAGGAATAAAAGTCATGTGTGCAAGAGTCTTTTACACAGAAAACTGTAAACATTACTGAGAGATATTCAAGAAGTCTTAAGAAAATAAACAGCATACATTATTGAAGGATTCTAAGAATCAATATTGTAATTAAGTTTATTCTCCTAAATTGATTTAAAAATTCAGTGTAACTCCTCTCATAATCTCAGCCCTTCTATTTTACAAATTGAAAAGCTGATCCTAAAATGTGTATGAAAACAAAAAGGATAAAAAATAATGAAGACAAATTGAGAATATAAAACAAGCTTAGAGGTCTTTTACTCTCAGATCTCAAACCTTGTTAAAGCTGCAGCAATGAAAATGGCATAGTGCTGATTGGTGTGAGAATAGACAAATAGGTCAGTGTCATAGAATAGAGTGCAGAAGAAAACCCACGCTTACTATTCACATGATTCGTGGGGAAAGAAAGAAGAGGGGAAAAAAAACTCTTTGCTATGCATTGAGGGAAAGCAATCTTTCTTATAAGTATGGATTGTTTCCATTATATATCCATATTTTTAAAAAGCCTTTGATCTCTACCTCACACAATAAACAAAAATCGTTCCAGGTGTTTTGTATTGAAATAAGAAAAATCAAAAATCTTTTCTAAAAGCGGTCATGAAAAAATACTGAGAAGACCTTGAAGAAATCAAAGATTTCTAAAACAATAAACATATACACAGAGGACTTACCACAGAAGAAAAAAAGACTGAAAACTAGTGCTTTAAACTAGAACTCTGTGTTACAGAATATACCATTAAGAGAATCAAAAGGCAAACCACAGTATAGAAGATAATTATGGTATATATATTCAACAAAGGTTCACACATAGAATATATATATGAAGAACTACTACAAACTAATAGGAAAAGAACATTCAATTGAAGGCAAAATGGGCTGAAAACTTCACTACACACACATCCTCCAAATAAGTGCTCTGAATGGTGGGCACCAAGGATCATCTGAGTACAAATTAAAATGACAGTGAATGAATGAAAATGAGACAGCACACCTGCCAAAATGGCACAAAAAAAGCAAAAAACAAACAAAAAAAATCTGACAATTAAAAGTGTCGACAAAGAAGAGCTCTCATTAACTCTGGCCAGAGCCTCATCTACCTGGAAAGGGTACTTTGTGGAACTATTTGCAGTATCTACTAAAAGGAATTTAGGCTTACCCAGTGAACAAACATTCCTCTTCTCTGAATGTACCCATGAGAAAAGAGTGCCTAGTACCAAGAGAAAAGATACTGGTGAAAATGTTTAGAGTAGCTTTTTCCATAAATAGCCCCAAGCTGGAAACAGCTCAAATGTCCATGAATAGTATTACGCTACATCGTGTTTATAGTCATACCAGGGAACGTAGACAGCAATGAAAAATAACTACAGATGCACACCCATAAGACAGATTGCTGAGTCAGTATACTCTCTTTGATACGTATAATTCTATTTATATAAAGAAAAAACCAGTAAAATAAGTTTATAATGACAGACATCAGAATAGTGGCTACCTATAGTGTTTTGTTTTGTTCTGTTTTGTTTTGTTTTGAGACAGGGTCTCACTCTGTTGCCCAGGCTGGAGTGCAGTGGCATGATCTTGGCTCACTGCAGCCTCTCTGGCTCAAGCCATCCTCCCACTTCAGGCTCCCCACTAGCTGGGACTATAGGCGCACACCACCACATCCAGCTAATTTTTGTATTTATTTATTATTCTTTTTTTTTGGTAGAGATTGAGTTTTGCCATGTTGCCCAGGCTGGTCTTGAACTCCTGAGTTCAAGCACTCCTCCTACCTCGGCCTCCCAAGGTGCTAGGATTACAGGCATGAGCCACTGTGCCTTGCCTGGTTACCTTTTGAAGGGCTATGATTGCAAGGGTAGGAAGGAGGGTTCTGGAATGGTAATAATGTTCTATTACTTGATCTGAATGATACTTATATTTATGTGCTAATTTTTCTCTAAATTAATCATATACTTATGACATGCATAATAAAGTCAAAATATTTTAAGGTCAAATTAATAAAGGGAATGTCCTAAATGAAGATATTCTGTCTGTGAACAATTATATAGTTATATGAGAGAACTTGCTGGGCATAATAGCTGTAACTTTAATCTTTATTAAATATTATTAAATAATAAGTCATTGTTAAATCTATTAAATAGATTTCTTAAATTGTCCCTAATTTTTCATGAGGGCGGTCTGTATCCATTAGCCAGGTGCCTGAGTTTAGCTAATTTTGGTTTTGGGCAGGAGTTGGGAAAGTCAGACTGTTATCTGACTGATTGTTCATGGACTTTAAAATTAGTCTTACACATACCCCAAGATTTAAAAAAAAAAAAATGACAAAAGAAACTGAAATTTCCTGGAAACAGCCGTCATTTGGGATTCAGAAGACAAAAGACATGATTCAAAACCCTGCCCCTTGCTCTTGACGGGCGATCCCTGCCCAGCCCTGAAAAGTCTCCCTGTTGTCCTGGCCCCTGTCCCAAAGCTGTGGCAATAACATGCACTCAAAGACGTGTTTGCTGGAAGAAGACATGTGAAGCATGAATGGAATTTTGCCTTGGCGATAACGTTGAATGTGCTGTTCTGCGATCCTGTACCAATAGGGCACCAGGCCCGCTCTGAAGTCCGCTAATGGCAATCCCCCTTTGTTCCCTCAGGGACACACAAAGCCACTGTTCCCATAGCAACCCTGCCAAGTGATGTCAGAAACCAGGGTTCGGCCTTGAAGGCTACAACACAAGTGCGGTGTTGACCAGCTAGCAATGACGACAACCCCGAAGACAGCGCCGTGCCTCCAGCAACAGAAATCAGCAGTGCACGTGTGTGCACACACTGTGTCTTGTTTTATGCTTAAAAATTGTGAATAATCCATTTTTAAGTGTGTGTATTCTCTAGAAGCCTGTGTTTCTCCTGATGTGTGTTTTATGCTTAAAAATTGTAAATAATCCATTTTTAAGTGTGTATATTCTTTAGAAGCCCGTGTTTCTCCTGATGTGTCATATCACTTGGAAAATCAGATTTCCTTTTGCTTTCATGAAGACCTATTTTCTGAAATTGAAGATGAAATGATTCATTTGCTCAAACCCTTAAAATGTCCTGACTTTATTCCTTAGGGAGGTTCATCATGTTCAGAGGAGAAGAGAGTGAAGGATTGTTTAATAAAGACCAATCATGTAAATTTTATGATATACATCATTGTTTTAATATACATAGTTGTTTGACTTGGAGAACTCACAGTAAAGAAGACAATTATAGAAATATATTATGGATTTTTGGCTGGGCACGGTGACTCATGCCTGTAATTGAAGCACTCTGGGAGACCAAGGCGGGTGGATCACCTGAGGTTGGGAGTTCGAGACCAGCCTGGCCAATATGGTGAAACCCCATCTCTACTAAAAATACAAAAATTAGCCGGGCATGATGGTGGGCACCTGTAATCCCAGTTACATGGGAGGCTGAAGCAGGAGAATTGCTTGAACCTGGGAGGTGGAGATTGCAGTGAGCCGAGATCGCATCACACACACCAGCCCGGGCAACGAGAGCAAAACTCTCAAAAAAAAAAAAAAAGAAAAGAAATATATTATGGATTTTTAAAAGAGAAAATATTTTATAAAAATTCTAACCTCACTGTCAAATAGCAATCGGCCTCTTTCCTTCAGTTTCCAGGGAAATCAATAGCAGCTCAAATTTAGAAGTTCTGCTTTGAGCCTTTTCAAATCACGCTGTGATTGAGCATTTTACGTGTGACACCATTAGCCAGAGGAACAATCCTGGTTCTGTTGTGTTTTTTTTTTTCTTTTTCAATAGATTTTAGAGAGAAAATGAGACATTGATTGAAGGGTAATCCTTAACATAGAAGGGATTGGAATAACTGTTAAATTTTGCAGATTCTTCAGTTAAACTACTGTGAAAGTCTTGACGTTAGCCTACAAAAAAGCCTTTTATTACAAACTCCATACTTGCTAAAGTGCTGTCTTTTGATACTGCAGTTTTGTTTCTGTAATATATTTATTATTCAGAACAAATGAAATTCTCCAATGTATTTTGCTTGTTAATGTCATTTACCCACGATCTATGAAATGACTAAACTTATACATATATATACACACACATATTAACATTTATGCATCTGTACATTTTATGTATCTGCACCAGTGATATAACAATAATTTTTATTCCTATGTTACATAAAAACTTAGTAGTGAGTCTCATTCAACTTCACAACCCATGAAATAATTTCTGTTTCAACCTATATGAGCCAAGGGGAAATTGTTTAAATAATATATTTATATTTCATATTTTAAAATGGTCTCTATCTTACCAAAAAAGTGACACAGGCATACTGCTGAGATAAGGCAAATGTGCAGCAGTCACAGGAATAGCAGTGCTCACTGGGTGCTGGTACAGTTTCAGGTATTGGGCTGGGAGTTGTCCAGTCGTCACCTTCTTTAATCTTCACGACAACTCTAACATCGAGTGCTGTAGTTCCCAATTTACTGGGGCAAAAAGACAGGTTACGTCACTGGCTGAAACGGGCTGACCTCAGTGTCAAATCCAGGTTTTGCTGGTCACAGAAACAAAGCTTTTAAAAATCTCTCCAAATACTACCTCTAGGATTCCTGGAGGCCAGACACCCTAAAGACCAGCAGGAGCCTCTGACACTCCATCCACGCCCCCACTACAGGGAACTGGTGATTACACGATGAATAAACGCATCTTACAAGAATGGGAGCCACCACTTAGGGCCAAGCTATTTGTGACTAAAAAGCAAACAAAAGAATCTGCTCAAGGTGAAATTTGATCGTTGCCCATTGACTCTCAGGTGACATGGCCTCCAAGTATAACAGTGAATCCCCCGAGGGCCAAAAATTGCCTTGGAAAATATGATTGTGACCTCTATTTCTCTGTTGCCATGGAGTTATGCCTCTTGTCTGTTGATGGAAGGTCAATCATTGTATTTACACGCAGTGAACAGTGAACATATATAATGCCTATGGTCTATTATTATTTCTTTGCAGGAGGTTTATTACAGGGTTTGGTATGCAATCTAAATTAAATGTCTCGAGAAAAATAATGCTTTTAAGTTTAGGCAATTTTAGAGAATTCTTTGAGTGAGATTCCCTCTTTAAAATTCCACTGAATTTTCTGATTGCCTTTGAAGTTGTTTCTGTCTGAAACTAGTATATTTATTTCCTTTTTAAAGGAGATTTTTTCTTTTCAATCATCTACTACAAAATAACTTTCTTTTATGTTTATGAGACATTAGATACAATTATTTTCTAAGTCCATCTCTGTAAACAACTTTGTAATTTTTAGCCTTTCAAATGTCATTATCATAAACACGAATCAGCACTGGTTCTGCTCCTTGTTGGCTTTGAAGCGGCATTTAAAATCCCCGTGGCTCTGAAGCCCTCATCGACCTGGGTCACCTGGGTGAGTAAATTCAGCCAGCAAGTTACTGTGGGTTCCACGTTATCGTTTTCCAAATTCCTGGCACTGCTGATACGTGCAAGCTGCCCACTTTGAAAATGGAATGTGCCATTTCATCCTACTCAAAAGTGGGTGGAGAGAAAGAAGTGTTTCACTGAGGGTATTTGTGCGAGTGGACTGCGGATGGTGGAGGAATCGTGCTTCGCACTGTGGCGGCTGGTTTTTGGCCATCCTCTCAATGAGCGCTTTAAAGCTGAGTCCATTAGATTATATTTTAGGCTCAGGGGTCTTATAGGTCATTTCACTCTACACTCCTCTTTGAATCCTGGAAAGATTAAGTATGATAGGCAACTTATTTAGTGCTCTTGCCACCAGTGTTTTGATGGGTCAGTCAAAAGCACATGTCGTTGAAGGTGCAGTAACCTCTGATGGGCTGTGTTCTGCTCAGTGGAGCAACAATAAATCTTATTTTTTCCAACCCTTGGCAGATACCTGTTAAATAAGCTTTGTTGATTTCTTCCCACATTCTCCCTGTTGGGTCGGGGTTCAGTCATTTGCTAACCGTATTATTTTGAGCAAGTCACTTCACCTCTCTAAGTCTAATAAAATACAAATAATGGTGACACCCTTGTAGATGGCTGTAAGGATGCAATGAGCACCGGTCCATGAAGCACTAGGCACAAAACACAAATTAACTCCCAAATATTTTCAGAACACAACATATTCAGTCACGGCATGTGTAGAGAACATGTGTCACTCTGTAGTTGGCTTGTGATGGAGAGCCTGCAGCCTGGACTCGGCTGTGCTGAGAGCTGAAGGAACCACATGGCTGAGTGGTCTTGGGAGACCCATCTCCTGCCCAGTGCACCGAAGCTGGGACACTGAGGCTTAAGCTACTGGCTTGTGCTGGGAGGTGAGAAGGCTCTGACCCAGGGTGAATTCCAGAGAATGCACCGTCTATGTGTAAGCACTGGATAGCAATGCATAGGAATTATCAAGATGTCTTTATGTGTGTGCATATATTTTTAGAAGTTTTAAAAAGTATGAAAATACCAGCTGGGCACAGTGGCTCATGCCTGTAATCCCAGCACTTTGGGAGGCTGAGGTGGGTGGATCCCCTGAGGTCAGGAGTTCGAGACCAGCTTGACCAACATGGAGAAACCCCTTATCTACCAAAAAAAAAAAAATACAAAATTAGCCGGGCTTGGTGGTGCATGCCTGTGATCCCAGCTACTCAGGAGGCTGAGGCAGGAGAATCGCTTGAACCCGGGAGGAGGAAGTTGCAGTGAGCCGAGATCGCGCCACTGCACTCCAACCTGGGCAATAAGAGTGAAACTCCGTCTCAAAAAAAAAAAAGAAAAGAAAATATCAATGTATTAAATTTGGAAGACTGTACCATTGGAAAAATCCTGTAGTCCAAAAAGTTATTAGGATATATGTTTTTTTCTATATGTATACTTAGGTAAAGAAACAGTGTACAGGGCTGAGTGAGGACTGAATTCTAGTTCTCACCTTGCCACGATGCAACTTAGATGCATCTTTTTAATCTTTCTAAGCCTCAGTTGTCTCATCTGTGAAATTAATAGATTAGGCCACATAATCTTTAAAATTCCCTCTACTGATATTTTATGGTCCCAAAAATATTCTTGGCATGCATGCGGAGCTGAGAATGTCCACTATGATTTGTAAGATTATTTTCATACCCCCATGCTTTAACTGTTCAAGTTTACCTTGTTGTGGATATGATGGAGTCTAGCTTGTGCTGTGACTTTTCCCCACATTTGCCCTATGTCAGAGGCTGGCTGAAAGCCAGCAGGGGTACATTCTAGCATAGGTGTAAAGACTTACAAAGAGGCGAAGTAGATTCTTCTATACAGTAGTATCACTGGACACCCCGTGGCTCATGCCTGTAATCCCAGCACTTTGGGAGGCTGAGGCAGTCAGATCACCTGAGGTCAGGAGTTTGAGACCAGCCTGGCCAACATAGTGAAATCCCATCTCTACTAAAAATACAAAAATTAGCTGGGCGTAGTGGCACATGCCTGTAATCCCAGCTACTCAGGAGGCTGAGGCAAGAGAATGGCTTGAACCTGGGAGGCGGAAGTTGCAGTGAACCGAGATCAGACCACTGCACTCCAGCCTGGGGGGCACAGCAAGACTTTGTCTTAATAAACAGACAAACAAACAAACAAACAAACAGTAGCATAGACAAAACTCAAATTCTTCTTGCATTTATAGCCTCCTTCTTTAAGTATGAAAATCCTTTGCAATTTTTCAGATTCTCTGGACACAAAAAAAATTTATTTTCTTTTAGCTACCATAATGGATTAAATTATAAATTGAATTTCCAGGGCTGGCCACGGTGGCTCACACCTATAATCCCAGCACTTTGGGAGGCTGAGGTGGGTGGATTGCTTGAGGTCAGGAGTTTAAGACCAGCCTGATCAACATGGTGAAATCCCATCTCTACTAAAAATACAAAAATTAGCTGGGTGTGGTGGCGTGTGCCTGTAATCCCAGTTACCCGGGAGGCAGAGGCAGGAGAATCACTTGAACCCAGGAGGTGGAGGTTGCAGTGAGCAGAAATTGCACCACTGCATTCCAGCCTGGGAGACAGAGCAAGACTCCATCTGAAAAAAAAAAAAAAAAAAAGAATTTCCAGTTTGGCTTTAATGAATAGACTTCTGTTTCTGTATCTCTTTCCCCAGATATGAATAGAGATATAATATTCTTATATAATGTATGTGGGGTCTAACTTTCAAAATCACCTAAAGTACGCAATATAATTTGTTTGAATAAACCATTCATTTAGAACAGGTAGGCACTTAATTTTCTGTTTCATAAGCATTTTCCTTGAAGTCTCGAAATGCACTTTTTTGCTTTTAGGACAGTGTCAAGTCTCCAGAAGGGTAATTTTAAAATCAAGGGTTCTCTGTACATGCTTGTCTGTCTTTACTTTGCAGAAGACTTCACCTTACTGGCCTTCAGGTCTTGACAGATGGAACTTGATCTAAGAGCAGAAACCATTTCTCAGGTTTTCTAGCCTCTGAGAGCATCAGAGAATCCTCTGCATTGTACCCCTGCGGTCTGCCCTGATTAGGGTTCAGGTAATACTGATTTGACCAGTGAGAAAGCAAGAGGTGGAAAGATTTCCACAGGGCAGCTGTAATATTGCTTTCTATATGCACTATGCTTTGGTTTCGATTCATCATTTCTTAGGAAAAACCCTAAAATATTTGTGTGTGGCTTTGGAGAGTGACATAAAGACCTTCCCCTCAAAGAGCATAGGGCTCTAATGGAGAGCTGGCAGCTGAAAGGCATCCTGCCTTTCTGGGTCCTACAAGGTGTATAATTTCATGTTCTGCAGAGCAGTGAGGTGGAGTTAGACTGAGAAAGGTGTTTTCACAGTTTTCAGGAGCAGCCTTCCGGAGAATAAAAAGTTAAAACTTAGTGGCTTCAGACAACATTTTTGATCTAACAATTCTTGGAGTAAGGCAACTGGGCACAGTGAGGCCGGGGCTTCAGACCCTCCATCCCTCACAGAACTGTGGTCATCACAAGGTCCTCCCAGGAGGACCCACGCTGAGCTTGTTGTCAAGACTCACCCTCTTGGGCTACTGGGAGCTTCAGCTGTTGGCCACCCTGAACCCTTGCCTTATAGGCCTCTCCACAGAACATCCCACCACGTGGCAGCTGGCACTGTCAGAACCACCAGGAAAAGTCAACTGACATCCGTCTCTTCTTCCATGAGATTACAAAGTGTATGTTTCCTGGTCCCTGATGGATTTAGAATTTTCTCTACTGTCCTACTGTGTACATCCTTCATGATCATGCCTTTTATTCCCCCTCTTTGCTTGCCCTTTGTTATTTTGATAGAGTTTCCTTTATTCCATAGTCTTGTCTTCTCCACTGACTTGGTATCTCTCATCTTTTAGTGGCTATCTTTAAATGTTTAGTGGTTATTTTTCTATAACAAGATTGTATTTTTCTAACAGAGTGCAAACTTGGTCTCTTTTTTCTTGTCTGGAACAGCACAAGGACTTTAGCACACTTTAATTATCTGAAAGTCTTCATTGCCCAACTTTCCTTTTATTATTGTCTACATAAATATCAGAAGAGCAGAGTGCAGTATTGTGGTCAGTAGAAGAAAGGCCCGCTGAACACTTCTTTACGGCTGATGGGACTGTAAACTAATACAGCTGCTATGGAAAACAGTGTGGAAATTCCTTAAAGAACTAGAAGTAGAACTACCATTTGATCCAGCAATCCCACTACTGGGTATCTACCCAGAGGAAAAAAAGTCATTCTAAAAAAAGGATACTTGCACATGCATGTTTATAGCAGCACAATTTGCAATTGCAAAAATATGGAACCAGCCCAAATGCCCATCCTTTAATGAGTGGATAAAGAAAATGTGGTACACACACACTCTCACACTCTCTCTCTCTCACACACACACACACACACACACACACACACACACACACACCATGGAATACTACTCAGCCATAAAAAAGAATGAAATAATGGCATTTGGAGCAACCTGGATGGAATTGAGACCATTATTCTAAGTGATGTAACTCAGGAATGGGAAACCAAACATTGTATATTCTTATAAGTGGGAGCTAAGCTATGAGAATGCAAAGGCGTAAGAATGGTACAATGGACTTTGAGGACTCGGGGGGAAGGGTGGGGGGTGGTGAGGGATAAGAGACTACACATTGGGTACACCAAAATCTCACAAATCACCACTAATGAACTTATTCATGTAACTAAACACCACCTGTTCCCAAAAAATCTATTGAAATAAAAAAATCATAAAAGATGAAAATAAATAAAAAATAAAAGCAAGAATAGCCCCTCAAAGATGCCCATGTCCTAATCCCAGAACCTGCAAATGTATTGCCTCACATAATACAATGGCCTTCCCAGATATGATTTAAGTTCTTGAGGTGTGGAGATCATTCTGGGTTATCTGATCTGCCCAATTTAATCACAACGTTTCCTATTATGTAAGAGGGAGGTGGGAGGATCAGGGTCAGAGAGGAGACTTGAGGAGGGAAGCAGAGGTTGGAGCAATGGACCTTGAAGAGGGAGGAAAGGCCTAGGGACCATGGAGTGCAGGTGGCTTCTAGAAAACGGAGAAGTGAGGAAATTGATTTTCCTCTAGGTCCCCAGAAAGAAGGTGGCCCTGAGAACACATGATTCCAGCCCAGTAAAATGCATTTTAGACTTTCGACCTTCTGAGTAGTAAAATGATGAATTTGTCTTGAAGCCAAATTTTTAATGATTCGCCACAGCAGCTCTTCGGAAACCTGCATAGCTTTTGGCCCCTGGAAGTGGGGAGCTGTTGTAACAAACAACCAAGATCTTGGAAGTGGCTTTGGAATCGGGGGAGTGGCTTTGGAACCAGGTAATGTGCAAAGGCTGAAGAATTTAAGGAGCATGACAATAAAGGCAAGATTGCCCTGAAGAGACTCTAAGAAATCCAGACGTCAAAGGCCCTGCCCATGGGGGTCAGAGGGGAGTGAGGAGCACAGTGGAGGAGGCTGTGTCATGGTCAGACACCTACATCATCTCAAGCCAGCGGTTGGTGGAAATGAGTCTTTGAGGTGCTGCCGGTGATGGCTCAGAAGAAAAGGAGAAGCATGTTAATGAAAACGGGAGGAAAGAAGGTGCACGCAGCAGCAGAAAGCTTAAGAATTGTGTCCTACAGCAGCAGAAAGCTTAGGAACTGTTTTGCGGAAAGCAGGACATATGAGTGATGAACTTGGATGGTCAGCTGAGAGACTTCCAAGCATAGTGTTAAAGGTGTGGACTGGCTTCTTCTTAATGATTCTAGTAAGATGTGACAGGAAAACAATAAACTCAGGGAATAACTGTTAAGCAAAAAGGAATTGGAACTTGATGATTTGGAAAATTTTCAGCCTGTCCAGATTGTAAAACCTGCCAAAATTAGGAGACTCACTGTCAGGAAAGCATGTTCTGGGGAGAAAGTCAAGGGTATGGTATGGCTGGACAGCCTTTCGTTACTGCCTTGGAAAGATCAAAAGGTCAAAGTGTTCACTCATACCGAGGGCTCTTTGGGTAAATTAAACATGTGACTCATGAACTCCCTCAGCCCTTGCAGCAGAGCCCAGGAGTAGAGATGGGGTCACCGGGGACAAACCTGCAGAGAGCCCTCACAGTCTACAGATGTGAATTACTGTGGCCTTTGCAGGAGATCCACAAGGTTTTTGAGAATGTTCTATCAGCAGAAACACTGCCAGCTTGAAATGAGCAGAACAGAGAAGGGATGAAATGAAGGAAAACTGTCAGACTCCCCAAACTCCACAGGCAGAAAACAGGTGGATGAAACTACTCAGCGGCAAACCCACGCCAGCCTTTGGAAAAATGGAAGGATGACTGTGAGGGCAGAGCCGAGGGCTCAGCAGGAGGCAGAGACTCAAGCCACAGTGCATTATTCTCAGGCCTTGAAACCTAATGGAGTTTGCATGGTTGGATTCTGAAATTGCTTAGGACCAGTGAGAACTCATTTTATTCTTTCCTGTCTGCATTTTTTGTATGGGAAGACCTTGGATAGTCTTATTATTCCTTTTTTGAGAAATGCAATTCTCACAGGTTCCCAGATGAGAGACATTTTGACCTGGGTTGGATCATGCCCAGCATCTCACCCATACCTGGTTTAGATGATGAGATCTGGGACTTTTGAACTCATAAGACTCAGATGAGATTTTGGACTTGAGTAGACACTGTATTGGGTGGAGACACTTGGGGACCTTGAGATAGGTGAATGTATTTTGCATGGGGGGTGAATGCATTTTGAATCTTTGGGCATCGGAGGACAGACTGTGGTTGGCTGAATAATCACTCCACTAAGATGTCCACGCCCCAATCCCTGGAACCTATTAATGTGTTGCTTTATGGCAAAAGGGACTCTGCAGCTGTGTTTAAATTAAAGATTGTGAGGTGGGGAGATTATCTTGGATTTCCCCAGTGAGCCCCAAGGAATCACAGCAGTCCTTTAAATTGCAGCAGGCAGGTGAAAGAGAGAGAAACAGAAAAAGAAGCCGGCATGAGAGGGACTGGCTGGGCATTGCTGCTAGCTCTGAAGATGGAAGGATGGAGTTAATGGAAACCCAGAATGTTTCACCCTAAAATAGACTTCTTGGGCGTATTTTGATACAGCTATTCAGAAGGGCTGCATGAAACAAAAGCAGCTCTGACAAGCTGTCTTGTGTGGGGAGATTTGCATCTGTAGGGAAAATGTTTTGCCTACATCAGAGACATAAACACCGAATGCACACAGGCTTTCTCTGAGGCACCCCTTCCCCAGATCTGGGAAGGATTAACTACAGGAAAGGAGACCACAGGTCTAACACTCTTAATGGTGTGACATAGGGACCTCTACCCTAGGACACCATCTATACTTCCCAAGAGCTGCTTCTTCCTGTGAGGTTTTGTCTGCATCACATACGACCTTGCTGGCCCCAACTCTCCTCCTCCCGCCCTCCCATAGCCTGTTTCACCTCGCACCAAGCCTCACTTCTTCCTGTAACTTCAGGATGGTGTAAAGGCTTCAGTCATCTGGGCCCTCCTTTGCGTTTCCTACTTTGTGTACGACTATCATCTCTGCATGCACTTTAATAAATGTGTATGCCTTTTCTTCCCTGTTAACCTGCCTTTCGTTACAGAGGTGTCCCAACTGAGACCTTATGAATGAGGGCTGAGAAAATAAACTATAATTTTTCTCCCCTTCAGAGTCATGAGCCAAGGAAGGCAGGCAGTGCCTAGAAACTGGAAAAGGCAAAAACCAGATTCTCCCCTGGAGACTTCTGAAGAAATGCACTTTGCTGGCATTCTCCTTTTAGCCCTTGAGACCCATTTCATGCTTCTGACTTCCAGAACTATAGGTTGATAAATTCCTGTTGCTGGAACCCATTAAGTTTTTGTTATATTAGCAATGGGAAACAAACACAGGGCTGTTGAAACAGGGTTGCTTATAACCTTCGGTGCTGGTTGGGCATACAGATGCCAGGGTTGCCCCTGTTCTTCTGTAAAACGGGTCTACTGAGTCCTAAGTTTTATGTGCAAGAAGCAATTCCTCTTAATAAGTGGCTTTAGACCAACCGAAGTATTGGAAGGGATTTTGAATAGTTTGGAGGCAGCTAGGGGCAGTGGGTTTTATACAAGACGAGAGAGAGGACAGGAAGCCACTTCTAGGTCAGTGTTGAGCTGTCCCAGGTACCTGCACATCTCAGCCCAAGTCTGAGGGCTGCCAGACTTTGAGAACTGGGCAGTGAAGAGGTGAATGCAATAGAGGACTGATATGAGCAATTGAAGACAAATGAATCCATGCAAGGAGCCACGGGAAATAACACAATCACTTCCGGGTCATCTCCTTGCATACTGAATGAAGAAAATGGATTGAAACTAAGATTCTGCATTGGAACAAACACCATGCACCAGGTCCAAAGATGGACTTGCCTGAAATACTTGCCTATTTATGCAAAATTATTCTTAGAATGAGAGGGCGTTTTCTAATTTTCTTAGCCTGACACAGGATCAATAGAAAACTGAATGTGCCTAATATATTCTTGTTTGCAAAAGGGCAGAACACATCTGTAGGATTACATTGGAAAAGGCAAGTAAAAAAAATAATGTAGACATGAATAATATAGCTACGACATTTTAAAAACCATGCGGGGCTGAGAGATGAAGATCCGAACGCAGCTATCAGTGCACGAGGCACCTACACAGAAGTGCAGCAGGTAGAACGGCCATATGTCTTCGTTTAATTATGGAAAAATCACAAATGGGGGATCGTTGCTTTAGTGAAAGCTGTCGAGAAGAGGAATCGAAAAAGCATCTGCCGTGGAGATTTTGGGCATGTTTCTGGAAAATGGCCAAAACTGTAAGTGCCTCAAGGTCGTCCTCCTAGCCCAGGTGTCAGTGATAAGCCCAGGGGGATAAGCCCAGGGGGACCCTATGTTCTTCTGCCCTTGGACCTTCACAGGAAGGCGCCCCCCACAGGACACATGGGATATGTCCGTGACACATGCAGCACAACGCCTGGAGACACCTTCCTGTAAACACTCAGCACAGTCAGCTCTGGGCTCTGTTTAGTGGTTTCTTTTTGTTTTGTTTTGTTTTTTCAAAATTAAGATTAAAAATAGAGCCAATTCTACCATTTTTCTTAATTGCTCAGAAAGACAAAAAAAAAAAAAGATTGTAAGATGCTAGCTCTTTTTTTTTTTTTTTTTGAGATGGAGTCTCACTCTGTTGCCCAGGCTGGAGTGCAGTGGCGCTATCTCAGCTCACTGCAAGCTCCGCCTCCCGGGTTCACGCTATTCTCCTGCCTCAGCCTCCCAAGTAGCTGGGACTACAGGTGCGCACCACCACACCCAGCTAATTTTTTGTATTTTTTTGTTTGTTTTTTAGTAGAGACGGGGTTTCACCATGTTAGCCAGGATGGTCTCGATCTTCTGACCTCGTGATCCGCCTGCCTCAGCCTCCCAAAGTGCTGGGATTACAGGTGTGAACTACCATGCCCCGTCCCAAGATGCTAGCTCTTAAATGGCCCGTGCAGATAATTCTCAGCTATTCTTCTCATGTTTGGGAAGCAGGACTCAATGACTGCTCCAGGCTCACCTCCCACACCATGGCTGAGGCAGGCTCTGATGGGGCCTGTCTTCTCTCCCAGCTGTCTTCCCCTGCACTGAGGTTACCAATTGCTAGAGGTGATGAAAGGGAAAATGGTGCAGCCTCTCTGCTGTGACTTAGGCATGTTTTGAAGTTGCTGCTTGGTGTGAAGGCATTGATGAGAGATCCACAAAGTGCTCTTAGGAGCACCGGGGTGTGACATTGGAAGCTCTCACAGGACCATGTGCTTCCCCCTATAGAGGGTGATGGAGTTTTAAGAAGGATAAACACCCATTAGAGTTCCGGTCCCACTGTTAGAACTTAAGTCACTCAGCCCCTCTGAGTTGCAGTTTCCACATATATAAAATGGGTAGAATAATAACACCTGTCTCATAAGGTTGTTGGAAAAGTTACATAAAATAGTACATCAAGCACCTTCCCAACCTACAGGAAGCCCTCAGCAGCTGTGAGTGAGCTATGAGTCCCTCTGTGCATGAGCTTCCAGTCTGAGCTGTATGGCAGCTTCCAGGGTTCTGCAGCTATCCCAGGTGCAGGTTTAGAAAGCCAGTTTCCTAACCTAAATAATGGAGGAACCTCTGATATGGGTTGGCTGTGTCCCCACCCAAATCTCATCTTGAATTGTAGCTCCCTATAATCTCCATGTGTCGTCGGAGGGACCGAGTGGGAGGTAATTGAATCAGGGGGCAGGTCTTTCCCATGCTGTTCTCAAGACAGTGAATGAGTCTCATGAGATCTGATGGTTTTATAAGGGGTTTCCTCTTTCCCTTGGCTCTCATTCTCTCTTGTCTGCAGCCATGTAAGATGTGCCTTTTACCTTCCACCGATTGTGAGGCCTCCCCAGCCACATGAAACTGTGACTCCACTAAACCTCTTTTTCTTTATAAATTACCCAGTCTCGGGTATGTCTTCACAGCAGTATGAAAATGGACTAATACACAAGGTAAACTCTGGGCCAACTGAAAAGTGATTTGAGCCAAGTGATTGCAAACTTTCCTTTCTTCTTGAAAAGTCAACTCCAAGCAGGAGACAAAATCAAAACTGGTGTTTTGTACAGACTAATACAATCTCTAAATTCTGTGCTGGTGTTTTCAGGCTGGGGTGGGGCGTCTTCAGCCTCCATGAAGCCTCTGTTTAAGCTCTGTATTTTTTTGTTTTTACCTCCTTTATGAGGCTCTTTCAGGGAGAGGAAAGGCAATTTCCTGGCATGCGTGATGGACCCGCCTCTCCTATGGTTTAATTTTTTCTCAATCTTTCCTCATGGGTGTTTTTACCTCTCTTAAAATCATACCTGCCTGGCTGCGCCTTGCTGATTATTTTAATGTTATTCTAGATGTGCTGTAGGCTATGACATCACCTTTGTCTAATACAAAAATGCAGCAATACTCTTTTTCTTACTTCCCATGCTTTCCTAGACCCATCCTGATCTGTGCTTCCCAGATTGTGAGCCACAGATTCTGGAGTATGCATGAGGTTCCAGCACGAGATGCCTTGTCCATGTCCTCTCCAGTCAAGTAGACAGCAGGCTTTACACAGAGTTTCCCATCAGTGCCCCGATATTTAACTGGGTTCATAGCGTGTGTCTCCAGGACTGCCATGCCAGGTGTGAAGAACAGAAAGATGAAGAAGACACAGCCTCTCGGTGGAGACACACGTACACTTGGACACATGAGAGGATGTGTTGGGTGCAAGGCGTTGAATTTAAGGGAGCTCCCAGCAGGGAAGCCAGAGGGAAGGGAAAGGGGTGGGACCTCCCGGAGCTGCGGGCTGCAGAGGCTCTTCCAGAATGAGAAAGCCTGGCCCAGGGGTGTGGCCAGGAAGAGTAGAACATCCCTGCAGGCCAAGGGAGCAGCAAGATAATTATGCAAAGTTAATGAACTTTACAGGTGGCTTTGCTTAGCCAGGAATGGGCCGAGACCCGGAGTTTTAATGGATTAAATGTTTCTGTTATCAGTGAACTTTCAAAAAAACAAGGAAACAAATGCATGGTTTTCTATTGTTCTATATCGTGAGCTACTCCAGAAAAAAAAAAAAAAAAAAAGGTAAATTTAAAAGCGAAAATGAAAGGTTTCCTATTTTGGCCTCTGGGAATTTTGCTATCCTTGTCCACAAAGGGAGCGTAAATCCACAAATGTGATTTTCAACACCACTGCAAGGTGCCATTTCGTGTAATGCTTTTCAATAGTTAATCCCTGCCCCCTGCCCCCCGCCCCACCACCACACACACACCAGCTAGAAACCAAGGGATCTGCGTGACAGACCCCTTGCCCTGCTGGCATCTAATAGAGGAACGGGAGGCTCCTGTGGAGACCTGGTCCTCCTCACGGCTTTCTCCCTTCAATTCAGCCCCTTCCACGCACCTCCACGAATGCTCGCAGAATGAAACTGGAGTTTTACCTCCTTCTTGAAGCTCTTCCAGGGAGAGGAAAGGCAGTTTCCGGGCACCCACAATGAACATGGCTCCCATGGTTCAATTTTTTCTTCATCTTTACTCAAGGTGTTTTTTTTTTTTTTTAGAGGCAGAGTCTGGCTCAGGCTGGAGTGCAGTGGTGCTATCTCGGCTCACTGCAAGCTCCTCCTCCTGGGTTCATGCGATTCTCCTGCCTCAGCCTCCTGAGTAGCTGGGACTACAGGCGCCCGCCACCACGCCCGGTTAATTTTTTGTATTTTTAGTAGAGACGGGGTTTCATCATGTTAGCCAGGATGGTCTCGATCTCCTGACCTCATGATCCGCCTGCCTCGGCCTCCCAAAGTGCTGGGATTACAGGCGTGAGCCACCGTGCCCGGCCTGGTGTGTTTTTACCTTTCTTAAAATCATAGCTGCCTGGCTGTGCCTTGCTGATTTTTTAACGTCATTCTAGACGTGCTATAGACCATGATGTCACTTTTGTCTAATACAGTAACACAACAATACTCTTTGATTACTCCCATTACTACCTAGAAGAATATCTTGCTCCCAACTCACAGGCGGCCACAGTTTTGTGGGCCTGGAACCAGAGCCTCTGCTCCACAAAGGCAGGTTGGGCTTCAGGAGGAAAGGCTCTTGTCCAGGTGGTAGATTGATTTGATTCACCCAGAAGTGAAATGCGCCTCCATCCTGGGTCTTTCCTGGAAAATATTACTGAGACTTTAGGAGGGAAGGAACAAAACGCCCTTTGAAGTGTGAGAGAGAGATCAAAGATGCGCCTTGAGAGCTGACTGTGCAGGGTTCTCCAGCAGAGCACGGGGAGAGGGAGGCTTGTGGGACAAACCTGTCCTTGTCTGCAGCGTCAGCCGGCCCCCAGCCAGCCCACAGCCAGCTCCCCAGTGAAGCCTCTGCCTGGAGAGGCTTCCAATTACCAATGCACCTTCTGCCCTCTGACCCGGCCTTCTGAAAGGAGCATTTGTTTCTTGCCTGAGCTGGTGCAGTAGCCGATTGAGGGCAAAGTCATGTGGAGCCATGCACAGGGCGAAAGCCATTATGCTGGGTCTGTCTCACCAACTGGTCAAAAAGGAATGTTCCTGGTGAATTTTTTTCCCCTAAATATACATATATATTGTTTGGAACCCCATCAGGAGTGATTATTTTTGAAAGCAGTTAGTTCTCCCTGCTGCGGTGCTTAGTAGTGATTTGCCATTATACTTGCTTTGTGTCAGGAGCTAAAGTAAAAAGTGCCCTGAAAACAGCTGTTTGTACATCACGTGAGACTTTAATAAGAAACTCACGGGCATGAGATGCAGGCTGGCGGTGTGCGAGGCTTTGTGGTTCTGTCTTCAATTACGGGAAACATCTATGGTGAGGTCATTAACAGGAAAAGGACTTCAAACACAAACAAAAAGTATAGAAGAATTAAAAAGGAAAAGCATTTTTAACAAAGGATTAAAAGATGCAGGGACCTATGCGTTCAAAGGAGTGCAGGGGCGCGTGTCGCCTGCAGTCTGTGAGCAGCCACGTGGGGAGATCCCGTGATTGGCCGGTGCGGGGGCCAGGACACGGAGGACCCACAGCAGCGCAGGGGTTCTGGGACTTGGTGGGGACTCTGAAGCCCTGAAGCTGCACACAGCTTGGGGAGGGCTCTGGGAAGGAGAGCTGGCCCTGCCCTGCGTAAGAAATTCGATGTGGGAGAAACCGAAGGGTAGGGGACAGTCCGTGGCTGCTGCATCCAGCATTCGCTTAGCAGAATCGAGAAGTGACCAGTGGTGCCTTCCGGCTGGAGAGCAACAGATGCATTTCGGCAACACTGACAAAGAAAAATCCGGGGCATGAATGCCCACTTTTCTGCCGCCTCCTAGTTTTAGTAAGCTTCCTGTACTTATTAGAAAATGAAACACAAGCTTATTTCAAGTGGCCATTTCACTCGTTTCTGAGTGGTCCCGACCACATCATCTTGATCTTAAGTTATTATGCTTTTGCACCCGGAGGGGTAATTGTCACCCCAGAGCGTCCGTCTGTTTTTCTCTTAGTAACAGACCTTGCCCTCTCAGCGCCACCCCCTCCACTCCACACTTCTGGATGCTGGCAGGTAGATCTGGGTAGGAGCTCGTGGCTTCTGATATGGTTTGGACGTGTCCCCACCCAAATCTCATCTCCAATTGTACTGCCATAATTCCCACATGTTGTGGGAGGGACCCGGTGGGAGAGAATTTGAATCATGGGGTGGTTTCCCCCATTCTGTTCTCATGATAGTGAATAAGTCTTATGAGATCTGATGGGTTTGTCAGGGGTTTCTGCTTTTGCATCTTCCTCATTTTCTCTTGCCACCACCATGTAAGAAGTGCCTTTTGATCCTGCTGTGGTTCAGGGGCCTCCCCAGCCACATGGAACTGTAAGTCCAATTAAACCTCTTTTTTTGTCCCAGTCTTGGGTATGTCTTTATCAGCAAAGTGAAAACGGACGAATACAAATGCTTTCTAGATGAAGGAGCAAGGTCAGAGCTCAGGGAGTCTCCACATGCCTTTATGTTTTCCTTCCTCTGGCTGCAGACTGGGTCACGGGCTTGGTGGTGGGGGCAGATTTGACTTTGCAAAGCAGAAAAGACATCCTGCAGGAGGTGGGGCAACCATAGGGTAGGGGCCGAGGTCTCAGGGTGACCTCCAGGAGCAGTCCCTCCACAACCTGGGCCGCCTCTGGACTGCTATGGGAGGGGGCGTAGACTGCTCTCTCCTGTGAGCCTCTGTGTCCACTTAGCCAGGGCTCCTCCTAACACGGTGGTTGTCTCCATGAAATTCCTTTGATATGAGATCAGAGATAGCCAAGTTCCTAGATTTGACCCATTAGAGAAAGTTGTATCACTTGGCTTGTAATCTATGAGAAGTCTTTCTGATTTAAGTTTGTATGACTACCTTCTAATTTCATATATTTGTGAAGAAAGCCGGGGAGTCTCTTGGTGTTAAATCTTTTGTGGTACATTTCAAAGGATCATGACTGAGGCGTTGAGTAACATATTCAAAATACAAAAAAAGTAGGCATTTTTATAAATGAATGTCTTTTGCCTTAAAAACAAATCCCTGTCCCATCTTTTTTTAAAGATGAGGTTACCTTTGTTGACATTTCATCCGCTTTAATTCCCAACAAAGTTGCTGAAGGTAAAGGATAATTATTTTTATTTTTTACATGAGAGAATAGGAGCCTTCCAACATATTTTTTCTAGTAGAAAGAGAAAATTGGCACTGAATAAACAAGAAGAAATGATATTAGTGGCAGAAATTAAAAACTAAACTCAGTGTTTACAGTGGCATGGTGAGATGGTGATGAGAGCCTGGGTTGGAGATGTTCAAGGTGTCCCAGGCAAGTGAATGCCCAGCCCGTGACTCGCAGGAGGATGGCTTATTGTACTGGATGCTTGCCTTGGATATTGACCTAGCAAGAGGCAGCAGGGCTCACTGTTAGGAAAACAGAAAATAGAAATGAAAAATATCCTGTATTCCTGCATTACTCACGTGATTTTAACCTGGCTGGTGTCTTCAGGAACCTTTAGATTTGAGCTCATTTAGGGAATAATCTCTGATTCGGTCTCTTAAGCTTCCTTTCTTGAGTTTATCTGCTCTCATTCTGTTTGAAATCATTGTTCTAAATTATCTTGTGCATTTTCCTCTTCCTGTCTTCGATTAAATGCTTGCATCCTGGAGCTTAACCCCTTCATCGTTACCGTATTTCACCCTTCATCGTTACCGTGTTTCACCCTTCATCGTTACCGTATTTCACCCTTCATCGTTACCGTGTTTCACCCTTCATCATTACCATATTTCGCTACTTCCGAGAGGCATCATTCCGTTGGCTTTTTCATTATTTCTCTTTGTTCACCACAATGTAACTACTTTAAACACAAGTGATGGTGATCGTTCTCAAACCATTTGGAATTTCCTTATAAAGGAAAATGTCGTGAAAATAATGTATTTTTTTATTACTAAAACAAACATATATGTCATGTATTGTCTTTCCCATTTCTAACAATCTTACAATTCTATTGCGAGAAGATGTCAAGTTTTTCCGGTGTGATTTGTCCCATCCATGTCCATAAATATCAGGGGCTGCCCCCATAGCAGTTTCCATGTTTCCCAGCCATGCCCAGTGAAAGGCTGAGGGTGACATTCCAGGCTGGGCACAGAGTAAAGGGGTTTAATTTAAATCATCCCCAGCAATATTGTATCTGCAGAGCAGAACATCCCCAGCAATATTGCATCTACAGAGCAGAACAGCAACACGTCTTCCAGGGCCTGTTCTAGGCTTTTCTTCTTGAGATACCTGCTCTTGTCTCCCGGGCAGCATGAGTTTTCTTTTTTCTTTTTCTTTTTTTGAGATGGAGTTTCACTCTTGTTGCCTAGGCTGGACTGCAATGGTGTGGTCTCAGGTCACTGCAGCCTCCACCTCCAGGGTTCAAGCTATTCTGCCTCAGCCTCCCAAGTAGTTGGGATTACAGGCACGCACCACCACGCCCAGCCAATTTTTGTATTTTTTAGTAGAGACAGCGTTTCACCATGTTGGCTAGGCTAGTCTCGAACTCCAGACCTCAGGTGGTCCACCCCCCTCAGTCTCCCAAAGTGCTGGGATTACAGGCATGAGCTACCGTGCCCAGCCCAAGTTTTCTTTAAGGACATTAATAGATGACTCTCAGCCTGTCTCTTTTGCATTTTAAGTTGATATAATTACTGCACGAGTTCTGTTAGTGACCTTCTCATGGCTCACTTCGACTATATCTGGAACTCAGGAGAGCCTGCCTTCATGTATTTGTATTAATTCACTTGCTAACTGTGTAATTTTGAGAAGGTTCTCCCATTTCTACAATGGAGAAGATGCTACCTTCCTAAAAGAAGTGAATTAGATAATGCATATGAAATTTCCTCACCCACGTGACATGCTCACAAATATTATTCTACCTTCTTTGGGATGGTGTGAGTTTGCTATTGGTAGTTTTGGTGGAAGATCCACTGTGGCAAAATGGCGAGAGAGCCTGAGCTTTGGTGCTAGATATCTAGCCCTACTAGAGTGCTCCTCTTCCATGTTTTCCAGCATAAGACTTATTTGCAGAAAGCTGTATGTGGAATGTTGTCATTTCGCCTGACTCTCAGTAAAAGTAGCCATAACTTGCAGCTACTGATATCTAAGTCATCAAATGGTGCTTTTCTTTATGAGAGATATTCAGAGCTAGAACTCTCTAGTGTGTTTTATAATCATCATTCTTGAGAAATTCCCAGGTGAAATGGCTGAAAACCAGATGCGAGTCATAGAAAAATTACCACAGTGACGCCAAACTCAAGGCCTCTTCCGTGGAATGCCTCGCCTTGGGCAGTCTACATCTTCCACTCACCCTCCTTTCAGTCTTCTGCGTCTGCCATGTTACTATCCACTAGACTAATGCTTGATTATCCTTAGCATCGAGGTAGGTGCCCCGTGGTGAATAAGGCCATGCCTCCCCATCTCACGGCCTCTTTTGAAACACAGGGCAGCACACGAAAACACAATGCACGTAAGGACACACAATCAATGTCAGCCTCGCAAATGATTAATTGTTGTACTGAATGCCAAAGAACCAATACAGCACTCTGATGCTATGAAAGAAATGAACTGTTGTGCTGTTAGCAGACAGAGGGCTCTCTAAAATATCCAGGAGCTGACCCAGTAAGGACGCAGGACCACGTAGACAGCACATCACACCACTCCAGAGGTGCTTTTGGATGGATGAGAAATAAAAAATAATCAATGCTGAATTCACTAAAAACAATGCAAGAAATATTACTGAAGTAATAATTGATTGATAAGTAGAACAAAAGAAGAAATACATGCCATGATTAATTTCTAATATTTTGGTTGAATCAGATACTTCCATTAAGCTAGGGAAAGTTTGTTTATTAAAGGGTCTTTGTGAGTCTGAGAGACTCTGCAAAGTTCAACTCTAGAGTTGGAGGCCTGAGATTTTGTAACTGACTCATCCAACCCATTAGAAAACCCAAGGCCACACAAACAGCAAAGGACAGGGGCTGGATACTAATAAGAATCACAGAACACCGAGGGCATTAAGGAAGAGGAGTAACAGTAAGTGAAACCCATCCAGCACTTATGGGCTCCATAAACTTGAGAAAACAAGGTAAACTCTGGGTCAACTGAAAAATGGGTTGAGCCAAGTGATTGCAAAGTTTCCTTTCTGCTTGAAAAGTTGACTTCAAGCAGGAGACAAAATTAAAAATGGAGTCTATATTAGACTGTATAAGATGGTGAAGTGATGGGTAAAAAAAGCATTTAAAGCAATTCAAAATGGGCTTCCTTTTAATAATTCAATTAGGTTCACCCAACAATGTTACCGTTTTAAAAATGATTTATTCCTTCACTTTCTTATGAAATATGTCTCTGGAAGAAAACAGATACTCTCTTACTCTGTTAGGCATCTGGAGCTATTCTGGGCGTACCATTTATCTATAAAATTTTATAAATAAAGAGAATATGTTACCCTTGATGCCATTAATCTTCTAAATAAATTGGACTTTATTGTGTGTGATTTTCCTGGTGACTGAGCTGTTTATTTTTCTTTGGTGTTTGTATTAGACATTTCGGATGCCTACATGATAAGGTGTCCTATGAATAGTGCTTTATTGCAGAAGACCCATTTCTTCAAGCATAAAACTTCTGGACATTGTACTTACATAGTGGCAAGTGTAGAGATTGATCAGCATTGAAGCGTCTTTTCTGTGAAATATTGTATCATGGAGATAATACTGTGCTGTGGAAATCCCACTCCAGAGTGGCAGGGAAATGAATGAAAAGAAAGAGGGCGCTGCCCTGTTACCTGCAAATAGCAATTTGTCATGCATGCATCCATTGACTGCGGAGCTTTAGTCTTCAGAGGCACTTTCCCTCTTTTGTATGATATATTTGGAATCAACGAAGATTGGGACAAACCCTATCAAATAGTAGAAGTATTTTTGTGTGGGTTATGAAAACATGGCTGATAATCCGCCCATCTCTCTCCTTTAAAGAATCCTACCGTCTGCACGGAGATTCACCGGGGGAGACAGACGATCACTCAGTGCCACCCTCCGAGTCCCGTCCTTCCATGCCCACCTACACGCCAAACGCTGGGGTGGAGAGACACAGTCAGCCCATGGCTGCCTGTTCCTCATACCCTGCCAGCTACCACAGCTGGCTGACTTGTTTTTAAATTTAAGGAAGCGCTCTGACTTCTGCATTGAGAATGGACTGATCAGCTACGGGGTAGAAGCAGAAAAACTAACTAGAAGACCACTGCAGTAACTCTGGCGGCAACGGGAAGGCGCGCTGGGATCTGGGTATGTGTGGGATTTGCTCATGCCTCAGATGGAGGTGTCGGAGACAGAGTCACCATCGACTCCATATCTCTGTCCTGAGTATCTGCAAGGATGGACTTGCCATTGGTACAAGTGGGGACGGCTGGAAGGTGTGCAGTGTGGCAGCGAACGGTCATTAGCTTGGGATTCTGAGATGCAAGTGGACCACCTGGGACTGTGAAATCAGTGGTCTGATGTGTGACCTGGAATGTAGGAGAGAGGTCTAAAAGAGAAATGTAAGTTTGACAGACGATTTTAAGCCATGAGATTGGATCCCATCACCCAGGGAGGGGCCTTTGTGACAAATGAGAAGAGGGCCCCAGGTCCTGAGCCTGCCACTCTAAAGGCACCTGCATTCTCTCCTGCTTATCACAACTTGAAGTTGAATGCAGTGAGGATCACTGGCCAACTCTTTGGTATACGTCCATTTAAATGACCTCTCAAGATTGTAGGTAACACTAGCCAATCCCCAAATTTCCCAGGAATTTTTTGTGACTTACTGATGAGACCACCTGGGGGCTGGGGTGAGGTAGCGTGATCTCGGTGGGGTATGGGCACGGTGTAGAAGTGAATCTCATAGATTTGATGCTTATTCACACGACTGAGTCCTCTGTGCCATAAAGTGGCTCTACCCTATAGGATGAGAAACCAAAACCACCAGTCACATAAAACTATGTTGGTCTCACTATTGAGGTAGATCAGGAAACCAAGCATGGTCAATTTTGTTGTGCTGGTGGTCGGAAGTGATTTTTTTTCCCTGAATCTATTTTCGGAAACAAAATCGAAATACATGTAGAGCTATCTGAACTTTCAAAAGCCTGAGTTATGCCAGGATTTCTAACACTGTGCTCAGTACATGGTTGGAGAACCCAGGAACTTGCAGATGGGTGGCCAGCTCTTATTCCGCATTTGATCAGAGCTCAGATGTGACCTGCAGCTCCGAATCCCACTTGGAAATAGGAATCTGGTCTGGATGGGTCACGTCCGTGAACACACTGTATGTTGGCAGTTTCGCATTCCCTGTTTTGTAGCTCTCATGATGAAGCACGTTCTATGAATCTTCAGACATTCCTTACCAAGTCCAAAGAATCAAAGCCTTTATTTACATCTCAGATAACTAATTAGATCTAAAGTACAGTGATATGCTCATATCTTAGTTGTGTAAAAATAAATAAATAAATAAAGTGTGGTAAATGATTACAATGGAATGGGAAACAAGTAAGGAAAAAATAGTCCAAAGGCTGGATGCGATGGCTCATGCCTGTAATCTCAGCACTTTGGGAGGCCTAGGTGGGTGGATTACTGGATTACGTGAGGTCAGGAATTCGAGACAGACCTGGCCAACATGGTGAAACCCCATCTCTAGTAAAAATGCAAAGAATTAGCTGGACGTGGTGGCGCGCACATACAATCCCAGCTACTCAGGAGGCTGAGGTATGAGAATTGCTTGAACTTGGGAGGCAGAGGTTACAGTCAGTGAGCCAAGATTGTGCCACTGCACTCCAGCCTGGGTGACAGAGCAAAATGCCATCTTAAAAAAAAAAGTTCAAAATACCAAAGGCAAGTCATTTGACCTAGAGATGGCTTTAGAATACATCTCCAATGTAATTTGTTGGCACATTCATTTGTACAGGATCTCTTTTTTTATGTACCTTAAAAGAACTACCTCTGTAAAGGTCAATTTGCAGAGAGTGAAACGTTGATAAGAGAAATCTTTAACTTCCTTGTTACTTTCTGGCTTTATAAGTTGCTGTTGAATCAGAGTGAAATGAGTGTTTCCCTGGCTGGCCACATGGAGAAGACAGAAACTGGATCCCTATTTCTCAAAATAGACAAAAAGCAACTCAAGATGGATTAAAGGCTTAAATCAAAGATCTGAAACCATAAAACCTAAGAGGAAAACCTAAGAAAAACTATTCAAGACATTGGCCTAGGCAAAGAATTTATGACAAAGACCACAAAAGCAAATGCAACAAAACCCAAAATAAATAAATGGGACCAATTAAACTAAAAAGCTTCTGCACAGCAAAATAAATAATCAGCAGAGTAAACAGACAACCCACAGAATAGGAGAAAATATTTGCAAACTATTCATTCAACAAAAAACTTGTATCCAGCGTCTACAAGTAACTCAAACAAATCAACAAAAAGAAAACAAATAATTTTGTCAAAAAGTGGGCAGAGGACATGAATAGACATTTCTCAAAAGCAGTTATGCAAACAGCTAACAAACATATGAAAAAAAATGCTCAACATTACTAATCATCAGGGAAATGCAAATTAAAACCAAAATGAGATACCACCTTACCCCAATGAGAATGGCCATAATTAAAAAGACAAAAAACAATAGATGTTGGCGCAGATGTGGTGAAAAGGGAACACGTATACACTTCTGGTGGGAATGTAAGTTAGCACAACCCCCATGAAAAATAGTATGGAGATTCCTTAAAGAGCTAAAAGTAGATCTACCATTTCATCCAGCAATCTACTGCTGGGTGTCTACCCAAAGGAAATCCTTATGTCAAAAAGAGAACTGCACATGTATGTTTATCACAGCAAAATTCACCATTGCAAAGGCGTGGAACCAACCTAAGTGCCCATCAACCAATGGGTGGATAAGGAAATGTGATATATGTACATGATGGAATACCACTCAGCCATAGAAAGAAATAATGTGTTTTGCAGCAACTTGGGTGGAACTGGAAGCCGTTATTCCAAGTGAAGTAACTCAGTAATGGAAAACCACACATCGTATGTTCTCACTTTTAAGTAGAAGCTGAGCCATGGGTATGCAAGGGCTTCTGAGTGGTATAATGGACACTGGAGACTCAGAAGTGGGGAAGGTGGCTGGGGGTGAGGGATAAAAAACTACAAAATGGGCACAATTGACACTGTTCGCGTAATGGGTGCACTAAAATCCCAGACTTCATTATACGGTTCATCCACGTAACCAAAAACCACTTCCACATCTAAAGCGATTGGAATAGAGAAAAGAAATAAGGGCTTCCTTTTTAAAGGAGAGAAAGGTGGATTCTGTGCATGGCTGTGCCTCGGTTTCGTCCTGCATGCACACTAGCAGCAGTGGCTGGCCTCAGGAGAACATGGATGGTGACTCATCACATGGAGTGACTTACGGTCCGGGAAGAGTACATCTGCAACTGAGATGGTGAGTCATAAACAACGGAGAGCCAGTGAAGCTCTGCGAGAGAGGAAAGCCAGGGAAACCTGTGGGAGCAGAGAGCCAGGGTGGACAGATGAGTTCCCAGAAGGGTAGAGCTGGGGGTCATCTGACTTATCTTCCTCAGAAGGGTGATACTTTTTTAAATCTGTCCCATGGAAAATTGTACGAGTATGAGTGGAAAGCTGCAAGGTGACCGGATAGCACAGGGCTCAGGGAGCCACAGCCCAGCTTCAACCAAGAATGCATGATTCTTGTATGTGGCGAGGGCTTCCCCCACCCTCCGCAGCACCCTGGTTCCTTCACTTCATCTAGTGAGAAACAAGAGCAGCCCTGTTGCAAGGAATGTGCCTGGGGGCCCATCAGTGCTCTGGGCTGCCTGACATGAGGCCCTTGGGTCTCTGTGCCTCAGTGTCCTCGAGTTCCAGTTGAGATGGGTGCCCATGGCTATGGATTGTTGATATCCTTCTGGCTCTGAAATTTGGATAGTTTCTTCTCCAAAGAACTAAGTGTTACTGGAGGCTCTTGAAAGAAATCTGCAGCGGCCTGGGATGTTACACATCCAGCCCCAGATTACCCCAAGGATGGGCTTGAACCTCACCCCATATCCAGCGTGAAATGACCTGCAGGCGTGTCTCGGGGTCTGGATATCAAGGCATCCAGTGACTATGGAGCAGGAACGAGGCCTTCAAGTCCTGATGGCGAATGGCCACTTCTGCACATCCCCTAAAAACCTTATCTTCTAAAGACCTTCAACACATTAAAAATTCTGTGAACTTTACTATTTCTAAAAATATCCTACCAGCTCCACCACTAAATATAACGTCTCTTCCAACGATGAGTCAAATGCATTTTGCATCAATGGCTCTGCATACTTGAGAAACGGAGTTGTTTGTGGTGAAGATATTTTTCCATGGTGCTGCTCCAACAGAGGTCATTTCTAAGAAATTTCTAATTTCCCTGGAGAAAAATGAATGCTTCAAAGTCAAAGAAGAAGGATTTTTTACTCCAGAGCAACTTCTAAATCTTTTTCAAAACTGGCTTTTTGCTTTTGAGATCAAACTTTGCTCTGTCCAGTTTCAAATATCTTCCTTTTTTTCTGTCTCTACTCCAGCTTTTTTAACTGATGCAAACTTTGAGTATCAGGGTAAACCACTAACCTCATACTTATCCTTTTAAAACACTTCTTAGTCCTGTTATTTCCATTTCTTCATATCCAACCAATGACAGTATATGTTTTCTCAAAATAAGTCTGTCCTCAAACCCACAAACACATACCTAAATTTATTATCATTATTACTGATTTCCTACTTGCACTGCTAAATGTTTCTTGGTGCCTGTGAGGGCTGTGGTGCAGACGCTCCCCTCCCTGGGAGGACAGTAGCCTGTTAAATGTTAGATGTGAGACTTCTCTCATCTGTATCCAGTATGTCAGGATGAAATAACTTTGGGGTTACAATATTTGGGGAATCTAAAGATAGTTATTACTGCTGTTTAGATCAAAATTTGAAATGCCATGGAAAGTACTAATGAGTCCTAGTACAAGGAGAAATGAAATAAAGTTATTTAATTTTCAAATGATTATTTAATAATTTAGTTCCCAGCTGGTCGACTAACCAGGACCAATGGGACCTCAAACCCATTTTACAGGCAGCTGGGGGCATTAATTATAAATGAAAAAAAAAGAAAAAAAATGAGTGTATGAGTGTATTACCCTTTCTCCCACCATTTTTGCAATAAGATAGTGTCTAGAAGGGGGCTACAAGTGAATGCAACATAAACTAAAGTGACTTTTCCTTTAAAAACTCAGTGGTTCTTCCAGGGCTGTTGGTTTATTCCTCTCTCACCATGATTTTAATGCTAACTTCATCCTCCATTCCATACACCCCAAGTTAACTAAAGGGAAAAACGGTCCACAAAACAAACAGATTCTAGGAAAATCTGTGTGACAGCATCTGTGCGTGTGAGCAGCCCTGGGGTGTGTCCACTCCTCTGGGATCCCATATGGTTTTCCCTTTTAGAATTGTTGAGATAAGGATCTGGCTTTACTGGGGTTTCGTGTTCCCGTCTTTAGAAAGAAGTCAGATCCTACTCTTTCCAATATTCTGTGCTCTTTTGAGTCCAAGTGCAATCACACATTTAAAGCTGTTTTTCTTTCGCTTCTCCACTTGAAAATATGTGTCCCTGAATCACTCTGTGGTCTTTTTCTTTCTTGTTCCTTAGGTGTGCTGACTTTCTGAATTTGCAAGTGTATCATCAGGACAGGCAGAAACATGTATGTTTTCCTTAATTTATTTTTATTCTTAATTTTTGCATACAACATTTCTTTTCTTCTGACTACAAATGATTTCTTCACTACATCTTGTGACCTGGCTGGTATATGGGATTAGGATATTCTATTTATAGGCAGCTGAAGCGAAAGATTGGGATGATGACATGGGTGGGGTGGAGATTTCTCCAGAAAGAGAGCCAGATTTAGGCAGAACATTTAGGCAGAACACAAGCCGTGAATGCCAGTGACTGGCATCACTGATCATTTATACAATGGTTATAGAACTCAAGTGACAGAAGTCTTAGATCGTGAACTTTTTTTTTTTTTTGAGATGGAATCTCACTCTGTTGCCCAGGCTAGAGTGCAGTGGGGCTATCTCGGCTCACTGCAACCGCCGCCTCCTGGGTTCAAGTGATTCCCCTGCCTCAGGCTCCCAAGTAGCTGGGATTACAGGTGCCTGCCACCACGCCCGGCTAATTTTTGTATTTTTAGTAGAGATAGGGTTTCACCATATTGGCCAGGCTGGTCTCCAACTCCTGACCTCGTGATCCGCCCACCTCGGCCTCCCAAAGTGTTGGGATTACAGGCATGAGCCACTGCGCCCGGCCGATAGTGACAATTTCTAAGCAGTGCCCTAGGACAAATGATCATATCACACTTTATCATTGTGATAAAATTCTATCCTCATGCTGATGAGACTGTTGGGGACATTCCCTCCCGGGTAACTCCCAGGTGAGCTCAGAGGCTGTAGCAGCGTCCAGTGGGAGTGGGCCAGCTTCCTTCCACACATCAGGGCCTCTGTCTCCTTCTTCTAAGGCAGAGAGGAACTTTCCACGGGGTATTGATCATGGTGATGTCAGTGGCTTCTTGGACCCACTCAGGGTCAAACCACCCACAGCATTGGAGCTGACAAGAGTCCTGGAATCACAGAGAATTGTTCAATGAGCATAAATCACTAAGTGATCTCATTGGACAAGGGAGGTCTCATTTCTTTCTTAGACAAATATCCCTTCTGTACTGCAATGCACGTGGCTGTGAGATCAGTTTCCTCATAAAAAAAAATAATAAAACAAATGGAATAAGAACAGAATAGCAGAAAGGTCCCGGAGCCCAGAGGAAAAGGATAAGATAGAACTTATGGGAATTCCTTGCTTGACTGGCTGGTCTTTGCTGCATTTTCCTTCTGAAACATTGTATGGTCTCTTAGAGGTTTTCTAACTTGCTTCTCCTGCAGATTCCAAGATTAACAGCAGGAAGCTCTATTTTAAAAATAACCAACTGTTACAGTGAAAGTGATTAAAAACACCATCATCACAAACGAGCTCTTCCCAGATCTAGGTCCAAGTTATTCCTGAAGTTAATATAGACCTGTATTCATTCTCTGGCCCCAGGAGAGCAGGAGGCAGAGCTTAGAGTGCCTGGGGAGTCCTCCTCCCTCCTCCTCTTCCTCTGACTGGCCTTGCTCTCTCAGCCTCTCACCTAAAGCCCTGACCCACAGGACAGCACCTGCTGACTCTCTCTTTCGTGTTCTCCCCGGTTAGGCTGGCATCCCCTTGGTCAGACAAGAAAATCTCAGCAGAGGCCCGAAGAATGAGTTCAAATGCTGGTGAATTCAAAACGCAGAGAGCCCAGCAGACGCCATCACTATGGATCTTGTATTTGAATCCGATGTAGCTGGATTCCCGGGGCCACGTAAATTAGGCGTGGAGCCTGTGTTAGAGAGTGAGGGTTTCCTTAGCGTCGTTGGCATCATTCATGTATAGCCAAGGTTCCACTTCTTAGCTTCTCCTTCAAGAAAGCCAACGAAGCAGGCATTTGGGAAAGTCAGCACTCGTTCAAGAGTTCGTTGGCTTTCAGTTGTGATGATGTTTTAAGGTCATATTTTTCCAAGTAGGATTGTTTGAGAATGAGGGCTCTGGTTTCATTCAGAGATAATGGCAATAGGCTTCTCTCACTTCAAACACCTGACTTGCCACACACTTGTTTGACTGCTGCCCTTATCCAGAGAATTCTCATCAAGATGGGCATGTGGGCCGGGATGCTGCTGTACCCCAGGATTCACACTGGCCTCGCGGCCGTGCAGAAAAGCAAGACAGTGGATCTGAGCTCCATCCCCGCAGTCTGCACTGGCCCCTTCATGGCACAGCGACAGCTTTGCCATCAGCCGGCAAGCATGCGGGGTGTGGACGACACAGCCGGAGAGAGCAGAGGCCAGGCTCATGAATCGGACAACGAGCTCGAGTTTTCAAGGTGTGACTCAAAGATCCATCAACACTTCCTTAGTCATCTGCTATTAGGTATTAGTGATATAGTCCATTGGATTCAGCCTTAGTCATCTGCTATTATCTGCTATTATGTATTAGTGATATAGTCCATTGGATTCAGCCTTAGTCATCTGCTATTATCTGCTATTATGTATTAGTGATATAGTCCATTGGATTCAGCCTTAGTCATCTGCTATTATCTGCTATTAGGTGTTAGTGATACAGTCCATTGGATTCAGCTTTAGTCACCTGCTATTAGGTATTAGTGATATAGTCCATTGGATTGAGTTAATGCTCAGACTCTGTGAAAATAGTCAAATTCTTTTACTTTCTCAACTAGATTTGATGCATTTTTCGAATATTTACGTGTCGTGTTAACATGACCCTAATTCAATTAGCTTGCCAGTAAATTTTACTGCTTGGGGATGAGATCTACAAAGGCATTACACAGGGACATGAAGCTCCCTGCTGCCAAAACGTTGGCGCTCTTCAGCGGTTAAAACGTTCTTCCTTCTGCTGAGTGATGATCCGCTTCCATGGAGTTTCCATCGCTGGCTCCTAGAGCTTTCCTTTGGTGATTGAAAGCATCAGTCTGCCTCCTCTCCTGTCTGGCATCCCTTCAAATATTTGAAAAGGGTGACTAAGTTCCCTCTAAGCCTGTTCATTCTCATCCGGGTCATCCTCCTGCCCTCTCTTGTTAGTTGTACAGAGAAGTTTCTAGACCCTTCACCGCTGTGGCTAATTCCCGAGAAGAGGAGGTGGGCTACTCCGGTCTTGAGAGTTATGACTGGACACCTGAGATGCACAGGATATAAGGCTTCATGCAACTGGAAAGAAATTTCTGCACATAACAAGTTTATACTCGTCCATGTACAAGGCCCCGAGTCAAACACAGTCATCTGAAATTGTCAAGTGGGAGAAAACAGCTACAGATTTCTATTTTTTCTCATGCCTAGTCACAGCATTGAGTCTTGTTTGAGGCAACATCACTCTTATCGTTTTTAAAAAATATCTTACTACAGCCCTCTCCCTGTTGCTTGAACTCATACAGAAGAGAAGGCAGTTGTCCCTCCTGCTGTATAAATTATAACTGCCGTCTCTCCTTTCTTTCCACACATTGCTGCACCCAGAGTGCTGCCACCAACACTTAACTGTATCTTTATAGTCAAGGAGGAATCTGCCTTCCAGAGACAGAAATAGTGTGTGCACATGTGTGTGAATGTGTATCCATGCACATGTGTGCACATCTGTATGTATGTGCACGTGTATACACTCAAGTTGTGCATGTATGCTGTACATGTGTATTCAGGGATGTGTGTGCATGTGTGTGCATGCATGTGTGTGCATGGTATGTGGGCATCTCTTCGCATGTGCACCTATGTGTGCATTTATGTTGTGCATGCATGTTATGCATGCGTGTGCATGGATGTCAGTGCATATGTGCATACATGCATGTGCGTGTGTGTGGATTTGGATGTACGCAACTTATGCATTTTTTCTAAGGCTATTTATTTTTTCATTTGGGCAATTTTTTTTTTCTCAGATGTCGTCAGGTCCATCACAGCTCAGCATTATGAAATAATAAAATAACCAAATCCTTTCCCAATCGGTAGCAGCTCCATGTGTATCCATCTTTTCTCGGTTTAACTTTGATTGTTTATGCATGGGCAGCATGTACTGCTGTAAGAAAAAAACAGGTTTTCTTTTGTAGAAGCTTAAGGTAGATAAATCTTTGATGTACACTGGTGGGCTGTTCTAATCTTGCAGTTGCTGTATGGACTGGAGACTTAATATTCACCTCTTTGGAAAGGCTGCACAATTGATCTCAGGAAGATCTCAGCAAACCTTGGAATTACTGCTGGAATGAATGGATGCACATCTTTTGAATTATATTTATAATACTATATACTAATATATATACTATATATATTATAGTGTGGTATACTATACTATTATACTATACTATATACTCTATTATTACAGTATACTACACCATATACTATACTATAATACTAATACCCTTCTGTATATATTGTCTCCTTGTTTTGTTGAGATTTGACTGGATCCCAGGGCAACCGCAGTGTAGGCACTGTGAGACCCAGCAGTTGATTCCCCACCTGCCTGTCCCCACCCTGGCCAGGATGGTGCCTGCCTTACGTCTCTGATCCCTTTCAGGTCATGCACAGTAATCGTTCGCCGTCCTCCCCAGGGCTCTGTGGCTGGCATAGCTGCCACTGTGTGCGAAGGGGATGGGCTGCCCAGCTGAGCTTCCTCAACTGACTCATCACCCACATTTCGGCAAGAGACTCATGCATGGCTCCTGTCGCCGGGAGCAGGCTGCACGCTGTGATTTCATTTGTGTCCTGTCTCGTTCATGCTGGCCTTCTTGGGGACATTGCTGCGAGGAATGCATTTACAAGGGATTTGGGCTCCTTGGATGACCTGGACAGGTTTCTGCCTCCTCAGTGTCTTGTTGTCCTCTCTCATTCTGGAAGTCAGGTTCAGAGAGGAAAGCCTTCAGGCACTATAAACAGTCTCCATAACTGAAGGAGGCAGAGACAAGAGCCCTGTTCCCAGGTGGTTAAATCAAAGGGACTGAAAAACAACAGCTTTTCATCCAATAAGGCTCAGGCACTGGGGGGACACGAGAAGTTCTCCCAGCACTGTGGTCAGTGCCTGCCATGGGCTGGTGGCAGGGAAGGGCCATCAATGGTCGTTTCATGCTCAAGACAGGAGGACCTGGAATTCCTCAAAGACATATGTCTGTGATTGGAGGGAAGGGGAGAGCACTGAAGGTCATGCCTAAGGAGCTCTTAGAATATGTCCACGGGCGCTTTCTCCACACCTGGACACTGTCAGGTTGGAAGTGCTTTCTACTCTGGGGAACCTGACTTCCTTTTGCATATGTTTAGACAAAAGTAAACATCTGAGTCATAGTTACCTATCCCAAGAGTCATTCTGACTGTGATAGGATGTTTTGGGACCTTAATCTCTAGCCTTATGAATTAAAGTTGCAAAATGCATATTTTTTCTTGTTTTAGTTTGAAGATACATTAACTACAGAGTTGAAAATGAGAGCTTCATGTCCTCTTTGCTTCTGGGAATGCCTCGTGGTTGTCCACGCGCTGGTCTCTGCCCCACGCGTGAGTGCACATGTGCAGGTGCCCCCCTCCCTCCCTGATCCTCTTCATGGAGTCCCCGACATGCCCTCCGTGATCCTCTTCATGGAGTCCCCGACCCGCCCTCCCTGATCCTCTTCATGGAGTCCATGCGCCACCTTCCTGCACCTTCCTCCGTTATGCTTCACCCAGAGCTTCACACATGGACATACATTTTAGAAAACGAAAGAAATGGTTAAGTCTGTATGATGGTAACAATCTTGACTAATATATCGCAGTAGTACTCTAACCAGACAATTTACTGAAAAACAATCTAATTTTTTGGGCTGTGCACTCCTGATGAATCTGTGAGCTCTCCTAACCATAACGCTAACCATAACCCTAACCCATTTTATTCTCCCCATCATCTTATTACCTGTCATTGGCCTGGCCTCTGCTGGGTGTCCCATAAATTTAATGAGTCAAACTACTCACAGAATGAGTAATTAAGACGCCTAAAACTCTCATTTACTTGGATTTATGTTTCACTTTTTACCAAGTTTTATTTGCATTGTACAGTCAAAAAAAATTTCACAAATAAAGAAAAATAAGCTCCTAAATTTGTACTCCCAGAAAAAAAAAGATCTCAAGCTTTAAAAAGTAACCACCTCTTCTTTAATAAAGTGGAGTAGAACTTGTAAAATAAATTGACCCGCCCTGGGAAAAGTGTTATTTCTAAGATATTAGAAATGAAACATGACCTTTGCAGCAGACTGTGGTAGGAATCTTAATTGTTGAAGGTTCCGGAGAGGTTTGGGATTCTCAGAGGGACAAGGACTTGAACCTTAACAGTATTTAGCTCACTGAATTGCCCCGAAATGTAAACAGCCCGTAGTTGGGGCAACAGTGGCCGCTGTGACCTGTCGCATGACAACACGGTGAGAAGAAAGTGATGTCATCATCATTCCTGCCTGGACTACCAGGCCTCGTGCATCTGAAGAGCTGACCAGCCTCAAGAGTCCCACAGGCAAAGCGCTCACCGCAGAGTCGCAGCAGCTCCCATGGATTCTTCTTTATGGGTATTGTGACCCATTGTTCACCCACCACCCATTTCTCTAATATCAACAAGACAGAAATGGCACTTGCCCGTTCTGAGCACGGGCTCCTTGGCTTCCCGGAATTTCATTAACCCCTGGCTCCGCTCCGGAGCTTCTAGTTATCGTATTCTAAACAGACACCGGCTTTTTTTCACATCACTGAGGACTCAAAAATGGGAAAGGTGGAGAGAAAAGATCCCATTTCCTCCGGACACACACATCTCTTTTTAGGTTGATAAAGTGAGGTTTAGTTTGGGGCTATTTAATTTTTATTTTTTATAGTCTTAAGAACCTGGTAACAATGCTTAAAATGAAACAGGGCAGCATCAATTAACAGAGAATAAGAAGTGGAGCTCTGTGTCTGCTGCAGAGGTCAGAGCCTCCCAGCCACCGTGCCCAGGTGCTCTGTGCCGTGAGCGGTGCCCGGGTGCTGTGTGCCGTGGGTGCAGTGTGCCGTGAGTAGGTTACAGGCAGTGGAGATGCTGAGCCTCAGCCACTGGGCAGCTGGACGGAGCCTGGGAGCTGAACCTCCTGGGAGGCTGGCTGATGACCTCCTGCTAGAAGCAGCCATACCCCAGTGTCCCATGGGTGGTATAAATATTAATATTTCCTATATCTGCTTTGATGCAAAAAAAAAATCAGAAAGCATGTTTAGAATATACAAGCACGACAGCCTAACTCTAAAAGCTTGCACACTGATAATTATTTAATGGCTGCAGGTAAGCACTCTGAAGCGGGACTTAGCTCTGAGCTGGAGTGCCCGGGAACAGTGCAAATCACTCGGACGAGGCCTTGCAGAACACTTGATGCGTTCAGCTCCATGCAGCCCTTAGAGTGGCCTGTGCTGCTCAGCAGCCTGCACAGGCCCCGAGCAGAGGCCCCAGGGTGGCCTTTGTCTGTAGAAGCCCTGAGCCCTCCAAATGTCCCCATGGGCTGCCCCGTATTTGGTCTCAGGAGAGTTTACTTCTAATTTTGCACTTGGGAGTTGAAATGGGCTAGTTTTCTCATCAACTTTCCTTCTCATCCAACAGCACCTTCTCAGTGGCCTGGGCAGGGGATGCTCTACCAGGTCTCAGGCTCCGTCCCCACGGTTGGCACTGCCCCCCACTCACACTGACCTCAGAGCTTATACCAAGGCAGGGCAGAGCTGAAATCCTACAGAAAATAGGCCTGGGAATACTGTGCTTAATTACTGAAAGACTGTGGCACTTCAGGTGGTCTGTGGGTTGATGGGACCTAGGACACCAAATGTGGGGCCATGGGGGCTCCTGTGCCCTTCCCAAGGCCTTCCACACACCTGCCCATGTGCTGTCCTAGAAGCCTCACCTGATTGTGAACAAACCCCTGCCAGGCCATGTTCCCCTCCATTGCCAGGAGCCTGTTCATCTTATTCCTGCTGCAGAAACCCACCGCTGCCCGGGGGGCCACCCCTTGAGGCCTATTTTGTACCTTTTTTTAATGTGGATGTTCTGATACTGAATTTGGACTACAGAACATGATCAAACATTCACTTCTCTGTAGGAACATACGTTTACTTTTATGTGGATTGAACGTGGATTCCTTCTCCTTGCTGCAAGAGTGCTTTGAAGATACTGGATTAATTACATTGTACCTTACCTTGTAATGAACTGTTTATATCATTTTATTCAAATACACAAGGAAGTTTTTAGGACTTCATCTATTTTTTTTAATTCTTTTAAAATTCTGGGCCTTTAATGTAGCTCCTGCTGTGTAATCACTTGTTAAATTTTTGCAGAATGAAAATAACACATCAGTGAGTCTTGCCCTGTTCTCTCTTGATGAGCCTTCCCTGTTCTCTCCTAACTTCCCTGCACCCAAATCCCTTGTATTTGTAGCCTTCTTGACACAAGCAGGGTCTAGTTCCAAATGCCTTTTGCGTGTTGCTTATAATCCTCATAGCAGCCCTGGCAGTAAGGACCTATTATTGTCCCGATGTTACCAATGAGAAAGTGAATGCAATTAAGTCACTTACTTATGAGTAGCAGAGCTGGGATTTGAATCCAGAGAGTCTGGAACACACATCTCACCACTACAATCCTTACACTTTTCCATATGTAGGGCTTCCCTATTTCCTGATATATCAAAAGCTCTTGGAGACAATGGATAAATGGTAGGGTGAAGACTTGATTCACAGCACATAACGTGGAAGGTTGAAAGTAGATCCTCATAACCATCTGTTTGGATAATACAGAATTTCTTCTTTCTTCAAGACCCTCCAGAGATAGCTGTAAGGATAAATGAAATGACTTCTGTTGAAAACGCAAAACTCCTTTGAACCAAAAACCTTTCCATAAAGAAAATAAAATATAAAACCTGTATAGTCCCCTAACAATGAAGCCATAACAACAAAAAACAAGAGCAGTATTTCGAGTCTGAAATGCCTACCCTTAATCTGCCTGTAGTTGCCGGTGTATAATTTAATGTGCTTTTTGGAGTTACTACCAAGATAATTTCAAATTTACACTTTGAAAGTTCGAAACTGAATTATCTTGGCTTAAAAATAGTCCACTCTTAGTCAAAAAGAGAAGCAGCACATTTGTGTCAGTTATCTATTTAGGGACAAAATAGAGTTCGAAAAAAGAAATTAAGATACTATGAAAAATTCTGCTTTTGTGTAAGTTCAGTACAATATTTTGAACTTTATGTTTTTCTAAGACCAAATTATTTAACTTGAGCCTCAATTTTGGGATTGACGCCTCTTAGGCATTTCCATAATTTAATTCCCTGTGCTGTCTAGGTCCATTATTTTAATTTCTGATCTTATGCCTATTCAAATTACTTTTCTTCACAATATTTTATCTATATTTTAATACCTCATTAAAATTTGACCTCTGCAGGAAGCCCTTTCCTGCATTTCTACTGTATTTGCATGACATCATTTAAAAGAGATCTGGTCCTCCTGACTTCAGCCTTGGAATGTTGTAAAGGAAGCATCGTTCCAAAGCTCTGGTATCCTCCCAGTGCCTGGCACCATGCTGGGCACGAAACGGACCAGATGCTTATTTGGTTTCCATTAACAGCAGACACCTGCCCCTGCCATTGACTGAATTACCTATTTCCACATGCTCCACACTAGGACAGGTGGCCTCCCATCACAGTTCCCATCCTTCACCATTTGACCTCAGGGCGCCTTAAATTCTGTTTCTATACATTCCCTCTATAGCTAATTGAGGCCTTCCTAAACGCCAGCCACCATTTAGCCCTTTACGTATATGGTTGGCTCATAAATACCCCTGAGAGGTAGGATGGTTCCCACCCCATGACAGATGAGGAAACTGAGGCACAGGTGAGGCTGCCAGTTTCCCCAACCACTCAGCTGGGGTGTGGCAGGGCAGATGACAGAACCAGGGACCACAAACCCTAAAGGGCGGCAGCGGCAGCAGCAGCAGCAGCAGCCTCTGCACGGGCACGGGTGGCGTTGGTTTTGTGTGTCTGCTGTTTGTTAGGGGTCCAGCCTGTCTGTTGCTGCTGTCTGTGTGTCTGTGTGTCTCATGCGATGCATCATTCATTGCATGGGGACCCTGTTTTGAGGCCTATCCGAAGTTTCATCCTGTTCCTAAGCTGCTCTAACCCGACTTCAGAGCTGTCTGCATCTCAATCCCATGATCTCACTCCAGAGGCAAAAACAAACCCTGTGAAGTGGGCAGACATTGCCCGTAACTGCAAAGTGTAACAATGTTGTTGTCATCATTATCCAATAACGCCAGAGCAAAGACATTGTTTTTCACTTTTATTATTATACATCAAAGATATGGTATTTTCCATGTATGTTCATTTAGTCCTTAAGTAAATATTTGTCGATTACATCATTGGATCTTCACAGAAGTGGCTCCTGACTAAACAACACTGTATTGTAAGAGAAATGGCATCATTTTTTAGCATATTTTCTCTTTAGAAAAGAAGACAGAGATTTGAATTTGGGCGACACACATAATAAAATGGATGTTTTCTTTTTAACAACCAAATCATACTCGAATTACAAAACCCTCCAGGCATTATCAGTTAATGCAAACACAGGAGGAAGATTTCTGCTCTCCGATTACATAAAACGTCTCCCCATTCCCAAGATCCTGGAGCCTCTCTCCCAGCGTCAGCTGTGGACCGCGGGTTTTGCAGAACGGGAATTCAGGCACTGTGATCTCAGCCAGTGAGGAGGTCAGATCAGGGCCCCAGGTTTGCCTGGTGGACCTTCCGAGTGGAAAGCAGCCAATGATTTGTTACCATGCAGGACAGCCGCCTCCGGGAACCCGTGTGTGGCCCGGGTGCCACGCAGCCTCGCGACCCCTGCCTCTCTTCACTGGCTTGTTCTCTGCCTCAGTCAGAGCCAATGACTTAGTGGCATCACAATTTTCTCAAACTTGCCAGAACTTTCTGGAATGTACTTAAAGAAAGCCATGACTCTGCCTCTTGTTAGCTGACATTCATTAGAGGCTTTGTGTCAGAGCTGGAAGCCATGAGTCACACTTGCTGATACAAGGGGAGATCTCAGCAGGAGGAACGGGCCTCGTGGTGCCCGTGCGCTTCCTGGAATTGTGCTGTAAGTGAAATGAGATGCTGGTGCCTGGGAGACCAGAGCTCAGCCCACATGGACTCCTCTGACACTTCGTCTACACTTAGAAACCTCCAAGCAGGCACAGGCCAGGCGCAGGTCACTTTCTTCAGCCCCATCTCCCCAGGCAGCCCCAGAGGCGGCGGCAGTGGGCTCCCAACTTCATGAATCCGCTGGAGCACGGAGATGTGGCGTGAAAACATGTCACACTCCTGGAGACGTGCATGAAGCCTCCTGGTGGCCTCAGAGTGTCTGGGGCCACCGGTCCTTTGAGATTTTAAGGAAAACAGTGTGTTTTCTGCTGTCTCCCCCTGACACAGCACTCTGAAAATCAAGCCGGAGCACCTGCAGAACCTCAGCACTGTCCAGAGCATCGTTGTGAGGGTCGGTTGCTGACCCAGGGCACGTCAGCCCCTGGAGGCCGAGTTACACTAACCTAGCCTCTGTTCCCTACATTCCTTGGTGTGGACTCTGGAATGGACCATGGAGAGAGAGGACATGAGAGCTGGAACTTTAATGCCCATTCCTTCGGCTCTGGATGTGGGAAATACAGGTCATGCCGAGATAACACACTTTTCACCACAGGGGCGTTCACAGGAAGGCCACACGCTTCATGTCAAGGGTTAGACCAGAGGCTCAGGGCTGTGTATTCACAGTAACGGCCAAGGAGGAAGGGATGGAGTTGATGCAACTGGAAACCCCCTTAGCAGTTGACATTAGACCCTGTCTTGCAGAGGTGCTGAGGGACGAGCTGCCTTTGAAGCCTGGCGCACGCATCTCCCAAGGCTGCGGCAACCAAGCACTGTGGATCAGGCGGCCTCAACAGTGGGAATGCAGGTTCTCACACTCCCTGGGGCTGGATGTCCTGAACAAGGTGTTGGTTCCTCTTGAGGTCTCTCTTCTTGTCTGGTAGACGCCATCTTCTCCCAGCGTCCTCACACCATCGCCCTCTGTGTCCCAATCTCCTCTTCTTACAAAGACACCGTCAGATTGGACGAGACCGCATGCTAATGACCCTGTTTTAACTCAGTTAACTCTGGAAAGACCTCATCACCACAGTTCTCACCTTCCCAGGAGGTTCAGACTTCAACACCTGAAAACTAAGGACACAACTTACTCCTTAACAGTGTGTGTGTGCCTGCATGTTCTTAAATCTTCAAAAAACTATGCAGTTGAAGAATTTGGGAAAATGCTTCTAGGCCATACATGGTCCTGTACTGTCATTTAAACAGTCCCCCCACTCTCCCCCACACACACAGGGCCCTCGTCTCTGAGGGTCTTCTCCACAGACACCTCCCACATCCACAAAATGAGATGCCCAAGCTAGAGGGTCCCCTGGCACCCTTTAGAGAAGGACAGAAATAAGACGGAGGAAGAGGAGGGCTGTGGATAGGCCTGAGTCACTTCATCACAGATACCTCTTTAGAAAACCCTATGGATTGACTTCTTGGTGTAAATGATAAATGGCCTTTGAGAAAAGTTGGAAAATATGGATAAAATATAATAGAGGAAACAAAAATACATGTGTTAGGTAAACTTAGCCGTAACAACTGTTCAGTTATCTGGGGGTGGGAAGTACCCCCAGCCCTTGTTGCTGTGGGAATGTGAGTAGCTGTTCCCTGTGCTTGAAAAGTCAATATGCAATTATATCTACATGGGGGTGAACAGGCTGCCCACACAGTGTTAGAGCTTGCCTTTTTTTCACCTAGCCTTCCACATAATTGAAAATAATTCAGAACTTTAATTTTTAGTGACTACATAATATTTTATCTTAACAATATGCCAAAACTATTTAATCATTCTCTTGGTGTTGACTATTTCTGATATTAACAGTTCCGTGTGGCTAGAACAAACATTATTGCCCATAAATCTTCATAGGTAGTCATATTATTTATTAGGATATATTCCTAGAAATGGAGTTACCCGATGAAGGGGCATGGATAATTTCAGATCTATTGTTACAAATCAGAACATCACTTTTTGGAAATTCTTAGACTTTACCAGGAGTGAATGAGATTGTTCATCTACCAAAAATTCTAGCAGCAATGGGGAGTTTTATTAAACACACAAACAAAAACCACACACACACACACACACACACACACACACACACACAGAAAGAAAGAAAAAAGGGTTGCACCCTTTATTAGGCAAAAAGAAAAAAAAATGATATCTCAATGTTGTAAGAATTTGAGTTTCTTTTCCTTACTGGTGAGGTTGAGGAATTTTTTATTCATTTCTCATTTTCTGTGTTTAAGCACTGGGCTGTCTTTCCGTTGGAAGCGGTTTGCCAATAATCTTTGTGGCACGTAGTTTCCCAGTTTCTTATATATAATACCTTTTAGTTATTTGACAGTAACAGTTTTTTGACTTAGGCTTTTTACTTTATCCCAATGTATGAAATTTCAGGATGCACAAGGCTTTCTCTTGGCTACTCCTGGGGTCGAGCTCAGTGGCTGTTGATTGCAGGAGAGGCCAGGACCAGCACTAAGGAAAGTTGCAACCAGGAGAAGGCCAGTGCTTTGGTGATAATGTTGCTGATCCTGAATAGTAACCAAATGTCTGTGTTTTGTTTCATGATTTTTTCCATTAATTATCTGCTTAGAAAGTCTTTTCTTCTTCCTCACATCCATTAAATGTTCCACTTTCCAAAAAAATTGTTATGTTTAATGTTTTAGCTGTCTATATTTTCTATTCAATTCTTCTTCAGTTTATTTTTGTATATGGTATGAATTAAGGATGTTAATTTATTCCCCCCAACCGAATCTACAAACTTTTCAACATCATTTATGAATTAATTGTCCTTTTATTATTACTCACTAAGTTTTTCTCTATTAGCATTTGTTTCTGGGAAAATGAACCTTTTCCGATGATTAAGCTCTTTATTCTTCTGCCAATATTGCAGAATGGTAATTCCTGTAGATCTAGTAGGGCTACCTCTCCCTCATTACTCACTCGTATTTTTTCTTTTTAAAACATTTTTCCTTGGAAACTTGTGTTTCCCCATGAGTCATTCAATCATTTATAAGACTGTAGCCCTGCCATCTGACCATGGATGAGAAGAATTCAGACCCGATGCCAGTGAGGAGGAGCTGGTGAAAAAGGAAGATAATTCTGGGAAGAGGCTGCAGCCCTGGGCTGCGAGGTGGACCTGGGCTGAAGCCACATGTGGAAGGAGCTTGCTGGAGCTGCTGGTCAGTGCAGCAGCATGGGGAACTGGGCCCACAGCGTGGTGCTTCATGAACCTTGCATGCTTCCTGGCCACTCTCGCAGAATAGTCAGACTCTGTGAAACCGTCAGGCTCCTTAAACTCTGTTGAATCCTCTGGTTGCCTCACTGATATGGTTTGGCTGTGTGCCCACCCAAATCTCATCTCAAATTGTTAACTCCCACAGTTCCCACCTGTCATGGGAGGAACCTGGTGGGAGGGGGTTGAATTAGGGGGTGGGTCTTTCCTGTGCTGTTCTCGTGATAATGAATGAGTCTCATGAGATCTGATGGTTTTAACAAGGGGAGTTTCCCTGCACGAGCTCTCTTCTCTTCACTTGTCTGCTGCCATGGGAGACGTGCCTTTCACCTTCCACCATGAGGTCTCCCCAGCCAGGCAGAATTATAAATCCGTTAAACCTCTTTCTTTTGTAAATTGCCGGGTCTCAGGTATGTCTTTCTTAGTGGCATGAAAACATACTGATACACTGGCAATCTATCCCAGCTCTGTCCAACTCATATTCAACTCTGCAGCTGGCGAGCCTCAACACATCCAAGGACAGGTGCCTCCCCTTGGGGTGACCCATGTGCCACACCCATGGAGTCTCCTGGACTCTGCACTCACATACCTGAGTCTGCTGTGGGTCCCTACCCTCTCTGTGCTCGCTCCTGATGCATCGTGGGTCTTCCACCGCTGTGGTTTGAATGGTTGTCTCTCTGAAATTCAAGCTGAAATATAATCTTCAAAGCGGCCCTAAATGTAATCTTCAAAGCAGCCCTTTGTAGAAGAGCCCTTAGACGTTGATTAGGCCATAAGGACGTTGCCTGGAGGGGTGGGATTTGTGCTGTAGAACAGGCTGGAGGAACTGGCTGCGTTCTTGTGTCATCCGGCCTTTCACTTTCCTCCATGTGAGGACACAGTGAGAAGATGTTCCCTTCGAAGCCCTGACCAGACACCAAATCTAACTTGATTTTAGATATCTCAGCCTCAGAGCTGTGAGGAGGGTATGCCGACTGCCCACAAATTACCCAGTCTGTGGTTTTAGTGACAGCAGCCTGAACGCACAAGGGCCCCATCCTCTCCATGCTCAAATCTGGACCCCTGTGGGCCCTCCGTCCCCTCTGTGCCCACATCAGGACCCGTCCCAGGTTTTTGGCCCTGGACTGTCCCCCTACTTCAGGCTCTGTGGTGGGTGCCTGAGCAGGTGCCACAGGACACCTGGGCATCTGCTGTCTCCAGGATCTCCTGCTCACCTCCAGCACCCAGTCTCCATCTAAGATCCTTCGGAACTTTACAGCCACCTCCAGGAAGAGCTATAAACTCTTCCCGTGGCCTCAAGGGAAATTGGAAATTGAGGCCTTTGGAAATTGGCTTCCTTTTCTTCCAAGTGGTCTTGAACAGAGAGATAATCATGTAAACTCTAACCTGAGTGTGAACTTACAGAGCATGCATGGGGTGGGGTACCCACGGAGAAGGCACTCCTGCCTGTGCGTTTGTAGGATGTGTTGAAGGGGCAGAGGGAACCTGGTTGACAGCTCCGGTTCAGGCAGCAAATCCAGCCCTAGGCAGCCTGGGCGCTGCAACCCCACTGCCACAAGGGCTACTCTGCCGTCTGCCTCTGCCTTGATCTCCCACCTCAGGGCCCCTGGAGCCCAGTATCAGCCCCTCCCCACCCCCTCTGCCCACTCTCTTTCCACCCTCCCTGCATGGTTCCTGCACAGCAGATCCTAAGACACAGGCTGGACTTGAGGTCAGACTCCCTGCTCCCCACACCCAGGTTTCACAGACCCCTGAGCACCTACTTGGTGGATCCAGGCAAATGGTCGTCTTTCCTTCTTGCATTGTATCCATTGGATATTCTTTGGCTTTATTCAGAGTCAAGCAACCGACAATTATGACAGTGTAGTTATTTAATGTTCTCGGGACCTTTACTTCATCCTAAAATACTTGATACATTTATTTCCTGGGTTAGATTATGACAGAAACAGCCTTTAGATGACATTTATAAGAAAACGTTTTCAAATCCAAAAAACTCCATGACACCATGATATCGAAGGTATGTCTTTCTCCAAAAAATTCCATGACACCATGATATCAAAGGCATTACCATTAATCATCACTTGGTCCCAGGCAGCCATGGGTGCACTTGCTCTGCCCACCTCTGGGCTCTCCCCTGCAGCCCACTCAGCTGCCCACTGGTGGTGCCACTCTGGCTGAGCCACCAGGGCAGTGGGCACTGGAGGCGGGTCTGTCTTCCCCGTGTAGAAGGTGTGCTTCAGTGGAAGTGTATTGGTCAAAGTTCTCTAGAGGGACAGGACTGATAGGATAGTTTATATATGAAAGGGAATTTATTAAGGAGTATTGACTCACACAATCCCCAGATGAAGTCCCACAATAGGCCTTCTGCAAGCTGAGGAGCAAGGAAGCCTGTCTGAATCTCAAAACCTCAAAAGTAGGGAAGCTAACAGTGCAGCCTTCAGTCTGTGGCCAAAGGCCCGAGAGCCCCTGGCAAAGCACTGTTGTAGGTCCAAGAGTCCAAAAGCTGAAGAACTTGGAGTCTGATGTTCGAGGCCAGGAAGCATCTAGCTTGGGAGAAAGATGGAGGCCAGAAGACTCAGCCTGTCCAGTCCTTCCATGTTCCTCTGCCTGCTTTATCCTAGCCGTGCTGGCAGCTGATTAGATGGTGCCCACCCAGATTGAGGGTGGGTCTGCCTTTCCCAGTTCACCAACTCAAATGTTAATCTCCTTTGGCAACACTCTCACAGACACACCCAGGAACAATACTTTGCATCCTTCGATCCAATCAAGTTGACACTCAATATTCACCGTCACAAGAGGTGTCAAGTGACTTCTCGGAGGAAAATCTGGTAATAAAGGAAAAACCTCAGTATTTGAATCCAGGCATTTGGCTTCTAAATTCAGGGGCTTCCCAACTGCACAAGCTACTCTTAATTTCATATTCTGGACTCTTACTTCAGAGTCTGTATCAAAAGAAATCACCACAGCGAGAAGGCAGATTCTATATATAAGAGAAAGTTTGTGTCTATGTGTTATATATATACATATATACCTATAAAGGACTGTGTACTATAAACAATACATTCACAAATATTGACAATCAACTGCACTTAGAAGATAGATGTGTTCCATGTAAAAACACGCTTATTTCTGGCAAAAAAGAAAGAAACAACTGGTACTGATGTAACAACTGTTTTATGTAACTGAAATACATTGACAAAATAATTTTAAAATGGTCTCGTTCTATAACTTAAGGGGGAATCCATTCATGTATAAATTCTTAATTTGTAAGGTTATCCTTAACTTTTGGAAACAAGGTGGTTTTACTTAACTCCCAATTTCTTTATTGTTATTATTATTATTATTATTATTATTATTATAATTATAATACTTTAAGGACTAGGGTACATGTGCACAACGTGCAGGTTAGTTACATATGTATACATGTGCCATGTTGGTGTGCTGCACCCATTAACTCATCATTTACATTAGGTATATCTCCTAATGCTATCCCTCCCTACTCCCCTCACCACATGACAGGCCCCGGTGTGTGATGTTCCCCTTCCTGTGTCCAGGTGTTCTCATTGTTCCGTTCCCACCTATGAGTGAGAACACGTGGTGTTTGGTTTTCTGTCCTTGTGACAGTTTGCTGAGAATAATGGTTTCCAGCTTCATCCATGTCCCTACAAAGGACATGAACTCATCATTTTTTATGGCTACATAGTATTCCATGGTGTATATGTGCCACATTTTCTTAATCCAGTCGTCTATCATTGATGGGCATTTGGGTTGGTTCCAAGTCTTTGCTATTGTGACTAGTGCCACAATAAACATACGTGTGCATGTGTCTTTAAAGTGGCATGATTTATAATCCTTTGGGTATATACCCAGTAATGGGACGGCTGGGTCAAATGGTATTTCTAGTTCTAGATCCTTGAGGAATCGCCACACTGTCTTCCACAATGGTTGAACTAGTTTACAGTCCCAGCAACAGTGTAAAAAATGTTCCCATTTCTCCACATCCTCTCCAGCACCTGTTGTTTCCTGACTTTTTAATGATTGCCATTCTAACTGGTGTGAGATGGTATCTCATTGTGGTTTTGATTTGCCTTTTTCTGATGGCCAGTGATGATGAGCATTTTTTCATGTGTCTGTTGGCTGCATAAATGTCTTCTTTTGAGAAGTGTCTCTTCATTTCCTTCACCCACTTTTTGATGGGGTTGTTTGATCTTTTTCTTGTGAATTTGTTTAAGTTCTTTGTAGATTCTGGATATTAGCCCTTTGTCAGATGGGTAGATTGCAAAAACTTTCTCCCATTCTATATGTTGGCTGTTCACTCTGATGGTAGTTTCTTTTCTGTGCACAAGCTCTTTAGTTTAATTAGATCCCATTTGTCAATTTTGGCTTTTGTTGCCATTGATTTTGGTGTTTTAGACATGAAGTCCTTGCCCATGCCTATGGCCTGAATGGTATTTCCAAGGTTTTCTTCTAGGGTTTTTATGGTTTTAGGTCTAACATTTAAGTCTTTAATCCATCTTGAATTAATTTTTCTATAAGGTGTAAGGAAGGGATCCAGTTTCAGCTTTCTACATATGGCTAGCCAGTTTTCCCAGCATCATTTATTAAATAGGGAATCCTTTCCCCATTTCTTGTTTTTGTCAGGTTTGTCAAAGATCAGATGGTTGTAGATGTGTGGTATTATTTCTGAGGGCTCTGTTCTGTTCCATTGATCTATATCTCTGTTTTGGTACCAGTACCATGCTGTTTTGGTTACTATAGCCTTGTAGTATAGTTTGAAGTCAGGTAGTGTGATGCCTCCAGCTTTGTTCTTTTTGCTTAGGATTGTCTTGGCAATGCGGGCTCTTTTTTGGTTCCATATGAACTTTAAAGTAGTTTTTTCCAATTCTGTGAAGAAAGTCATTGGTAGCTTGATATTTCCAATGGCCCGAAGGCTGTCATAAAATTCAAGATTCAAACATGCATTTTTTATTTTAATTGAAATAATTTTATGGACTTTAAACTTAAGAAATTTGGAGTTAAGTTCAATGCCATCCCCATCAAACTTAACTCCAAATTTCTTAAATTTGAAGTCCATAAAAGTATTTCAATTAAAATAAAAAATGCATGTTTGAATCACGAAACTTATGATAGCCTTCGGGCTATTGGAAATTGGCTTCTTTTTCTTCCAAGTGGTCTTGAACAGAGAGATAATCATGTAAACTCTAACCTGAGTGTGAATTTACAGAGCATGCATGGGGTGGGGTACCCACGGAGAAGGCTCTCTTGACCGTGCGTTTGTAGGATGTGTTGAAGGGGCAGAGGGAACCTGGTTGACAGCTCTGGTTCAGGCAGCAAGTCCAGCCCTGGGCAGCCTCACCCAAGCCCCTGTGGACACAGGACTCACTGGGTCTGTTCAGCCATTCTGCCTGGCCAGAAACAACCAAATAACCCAAAGCCCCATCCGTCAGGTGTATGTGGAAAGAGTAATTCTGCTGTGAGACGCCGCTTTCTACTGGGTTTGTCGCCCTTTGCCTGTAGCTGCAAAGCTTCCAATTTTTTGGAAACCCTGCACTCCACATTTTCATTTATCCTGAAACTAAATCAGTTTGGGGCTAAACATATTTCAAAATGTCAGCGTCCTTATTTGGTCCATGGGATGAGAAATGCAAGATTCTCAGAAAATGCCATGTTTAGTTTGGATGTTGTCCTGGAATGTGGAATGGAACAAATGCTAGATCCTCCTAGAGCGTTATGAAGAGTAAAAGAGAGAGGGCAAAGAAAACAGCTGGTAAACTCTGATATGCTCGAGCTAACTGAGTTCTGTGATCGTTACTATTTATCATCCCCATCCTTATCAGAATCTTCAGATTGTATAGTAGCCAATATATTACATTTAGAAGACAGGAAATCTGAAAACATAAATCTTTCTCAGAGCACCCAAACTGAAAAGCCTGTGCAAATACCCCGATTAAAAATAGGAAGAAGAAAACAATTAACTACTCTTCATTGCAGTTATTGAACCACTTGAAGGGCTGACATATAGAGAGATCAGTCCGAAGTCTTCCAGCCCAGAACCCGCGTTGGGTGATGGCTGTTGGCTGACCGAACAGATACCTTCAGCTCTCCTTTCCCTTTCTCTTCTGCTTTGGGATCACCCAAGGAGAAAAACCTCACCATGTGCTTATCTCTGCATTGGATGTTGGTTGACCTGAGTGAAAATGGCATATGAATTGGTGATATCTGCTGGACCATGGCTGGACCTAGGCTTAGAAGAGACCTCCAGCCTGGCCACAGGAGGCCAGGAGGATGCTGAGTCATGCAGAGATCACTCAGTTTATAACAGCAAGATTCTTTTTCTAGTATCCTGAGCAACCCAATGCCCAGAATCTTTTAGGCTTAGTTCCCCTTGAAATATTTTCAAGTAAAGGAGAAGAAAAAAATAATTCTGTATAGGTGTGTACTGGAAGTTGCTTTCCATGGCTTTTGTGACTTGAAGCAGCTTTGTTTAGGAGATGTCGCCGTTGTAAGCCTCTTAAGCTTGAGAAAAAGGCAAATTAGTACCATTTCTCATTGGTTAACATGGAACTTTCCCCATTCTTCTAGGAGAGAATCTCTTTATTGGGAAAATGGGGACAGAAGTGAAATGCAGCACTAAATGAGTTGGGAGCTCATGAGTGTGGCTGAAGATCCTCTTCTGGGCTAGCAGGTGTTTCCAGGGGTTTATGCAAATCCCTCCCTCGTGTGGCCAGAGGGCCAGAGGTGGGGTTCTGCCTGCTAGACCTGGAGGGAAACATTCACAGTTACCACCAGCAAGAAGGGGCGTCCCAGTTGGAATAACCGTGAGGAGAAGGTGGATGGGTGGAGTTGGTGGAAATCGGGGGGATGGGGAGCAAAATAACTGGGGCAAAGGAAACCAAAATGAGTAAAGGTAATCAGGAGAAAAATCACTTTGTGAGGCAGACATCCAGGATGAGTAATTTCTGAATAAGTTTATATTTATGGTATACAACATGATAATTTCATTTATGTGTTCATTGTGGGAAGGCTAAATCAAGCTAATTAACACACGCATTACCTCACATACTTGTCATTTTTTGTGATGAGAGCACTTAAAATCTCCTCTATTAGCAATTTTCAAGTACGCAATACGTATTTATTAACTATAGTCACGAGGCTGTACAAGAAACCTCTTAAATTTATTTCTCCTAACTGAAATTCTGTATCCTTTAACCAACATCTTCCCAATCCCCCCAAAATAAGTGATTTCTTAAAATAGAAACCATTACTTGTGACTAGCTACCTTGATCAGCAAGGATGAATGGATGAATGATTGAAGTTGTCACTAACATGAGCAATGACAAGTAAAGCCACCTCTCAGGTAATACAGGTGTTATAAAACTGGTTATGATCAAGTAACACCTGGCTCCCCGGAGCCTCCTGTTGACATCATCTCTGCCCTACTGTGTGTCTACCCAGAGTTGGAATGCTACAAAGAGCTTAGAATTTTTTTTTTTTTTTTTGAGACAGAGTCTCTCTGTGTTGCCCAGGTTGGAGTGCAGTGGCGTGATCTCTGCTCACTGCAACCTCCACCTCCTGGTTCAAGCCATTCGCTTGCCTCAGCCTCACATAGAATTTAGGTCTTAAAATCCTGATTTCAAGTTCTGGCTTCAGTTTTCTAGCCACGGCAGCTGGCCAGCTGCAAAAGCAACCCCTTAACCTTTCAGAATCATGCCTTCCCTCATCTACAAAAGTGGAATAATAATGAATGTCCTCTTACCTCCCAGAGCTTTATGAGGATTAAATACCATTGTGTGTCAGAGAGTGTCTTATAAACTCTGTGAAACCCTTCAAATGCTGAGTATATGAATAACCAGTGGACAATAAGAGAAACCGTGGAGTTTTGGTAGCAATCTGAGGGCACCAGGGTGATTTCAGGCTCAGTTAGCCAACCCAAGTCATAGAAAAAGGTACAGGAAGCAAGGGAAGAGTCCTATGTCTAAAATAAGCCTGTGTAGGGTTGGATATAAACTATTATTGACTTTTATCATTTCTTAGTTTCCACATTTAGTCCTGAGGCCCCTGAGCCCATGGGAAGCTGTGTTAGTTTGTGTTCATGCTGGACAGGGGAGCCAGCTCCTGTCTTTGGGTTATGATCATTATGCTGGGGACTTCTGGCCATCCGGGTGCCGTAGGAACCCTAAAAGTGTTCCTGAGTACACAGCCCCAACAAGGTGGCAATTCCACCAAGAAGCTATGCAAGTGGCATTCGTAGTGCCTTCAAATCCCAAACACCGCATGTTCTCACTCATAAGTGGGAGTTGAACAATGAAAACACAGGGAGGGGAATATCACACACCGGGGCCTGTCAGGGGGTTGGGGGCTAGGGGAGGGATAACATTAGGAGAAATATCTAATGTAGATGAGGGGTTGATGGGTGCAGCAAACCACCATGGCACAAGTATACCTAAGTAACAAACCTGCACGTTCTGCACATGTGCCCCAGAACTTAAAGTATAATAATAAAAAATAAATAAATAAGTTTAAAAAAATTATTCCCAGGTGGACTACTTCCTAATTCTGGAAACAGTAGCAATTTCTATTACGTGAGTGAGATATACTTGTATTTTACTTATAATGCCAAGTAGAATTTTAACCATGAGGCCTTAGAAAATGATATTAACCCAGTTTAACGTGTCTTCTAAGTGCAGCTCCCAAGACCCTTCTCTTAAAGTTGTCTTTCTCCTCTGGTGTGTGTGGGAGTAATGGAACATGAGTGTAGTTTTTCTAAACTGGAAGAATTCACCTCCTTCTCTACATATTAAAATTATTTTTATATAAGACTTTGATGTATGGGAAGCTTTGACTTCATTCAGAAAATTTTACCAGCCGGGAAATCATATACAATGCAACATGTTGCAAATCTCTGCAGAGCCTAAACAGGAAGAGGGTGTGTGGTGGCTGTAAACGCCACACAGGAGTCTCCTAATCAGGCCTAGGAGATGAGGCCCAGAGGTAAACAGAGATGCAGCAGCTTCTTCCCCAAGCCAGCAAGGCAGGCCGCCGGCTTCCAGTGAGTGTGTAGATCAGTTTAACTCTTGGTGTTTGTTTCACGACTCTCTAGCAGACGACCTAGCAAGGGCACTGAGTATTATAAACCTGTTTTATTTAGTGTTTGTTAAGTACAGATTGTACCAGACATTGGCACGCAGGGATGGCTGCCGCACTTTCCATTCTCATTTGAAAGGATCCCAGGTTCCTAACGAATAAGGCAAACTCAGGATGATGCATGAAAGCGTGAGGAGGGCAGCTCTGCAGTTGTCAGGTGCCCTGGTGTTGGCAGATACCACCGCCATGATGAGAAGAGGCCGTGCCTGCAATTCACAAGGTCACCACTTTTGCTCCGTCATGGATCCGGGTTTGGCTGTTGTTCAGGTCATGTATCAGGAGAAACCCTTGCATGGAGACCAGGAGAAACCCACCGCAAGCTGGGCAGAAGGTTAAAGAGATTGTGAGGGCTCGTGTGGCAGGAAGGTCCCAGTGGGGACTCCCAGGAAACAGGTGCTGCTGGCTCCGGGGTCAGACCCTCGTCTCTGCTGGCCCAGGACTGGCCCTCTTCTGAGCAGGCTCACCGCCCCCACTCCAGCAGTCTCAACCGGGCTGCCCGGATCTCTGTGCTGGACTATTCCTCATTTACGAGAGATAATTTTTTTCCATAGCTCTTAAGGGAGGATTTTCTTCTTCAGGAGTCCCAGAAACAACCTCCTTACATGTGTCCCTGCGGCCCAGTGTGGACAAGCCTGCTCTGCTGGGCCATTGCAGCAGGAAGGGGATGGGATACGTGGGACTCAGTGATGAGCTCACCAGCTGTACCCACCCTCAGGCAACTTTCCCTGCTAGAAAGCAGTGAGGGCAGGAACTGGAACCACGTTTTTCAAATCAGCCCCTTTTTCCACTTTCCTCTGCCCATTTCTAGCATGCAGCACCTGCTTTCGATTCTGAGATGCATCCCACATGGTCCAGCACGAAGCGTTCTTTGGACAGAACGCCTGCCATGAATGTCATTCCTCACTGGCCTACCGTGGTGCTCAGGTGTTCACCGTTGGGGGTAGCAGGGTAATAGTAACAGGAGGAATTTGTTGAAAACACAGAAGCCTTTTGGTGTCCTCTTTCGAATGAGTTCCATAGGTTAGCCCTTTCACTTCTGAAGACCCAGAACAGTTCTCAAGGGCAGTTGGAGGAGGAGGCGCTCTCTGCAGTGGGAGCCATCCGAGGGCTGTCCCTACAGCTGATGCAGGGCTTCCATCCTGGTGCATTTGATCAGGGCCATGCCGTCGGGATGATGGGGACCAGGGGATCAGACGTCTTGTTTTTGTGCATGAGTGGTAGCAGCCCAGTTAAGACACGTGAAACCCACAGTCTCTAAGTATAGAGCCCTTTCAGCTTTACTGCCTTTCAAAGAACCCTGGCTGAAATGCCAATGTTAGGACACAGGTGAAATTGAACATTGCACATGTACACAGGGTCCATTTCCTCTTTGCTCAGGCCCACCCTGCTGGGGATGCTTTGAGGCCAGGCCAGGTCTCCCGTCCAGCTCCCACATCTACCTTGTCCACACCTCTGAGGACACCTCTGAGACTCTCCCTGAACTCAACAGAAAGAAAGACAAGACGGACTTCCTAATGGGAGGGGAGGAAACATTTCTCATTAGAGATATAGAAGATTGTGTGTCTAAAGAGATTTTTACCATGAATTGGTAGTTGTCATTTTTAATTTTTCTATATTAAAATTTAGACCTCAAGTGTAAAACCTTCAAATAGTACATTTATTATCAACTAATTCTAGCACAAATTTTACACACCTGCCACACACTGGGAGTTGCTCAGGTCTTTACCAGAAATACACTTCTAGTATTCAGACCTGGCAACTAAGAAAGTTAAATTATGAATATACCTGTTCGTTAACAAACATCTATTGTGCTCAGCTGAAAAGGCCCATCTTTTTGTTCTAACTCGTGAGCAACTAGTCCATAAAAAGTAACGATATACAAAAAGTGTCATAGATTTGGCCCCAGCAACTTAATTAATTTAGTTCATTTGGAAGTAGGTGACAAGGCTTTTTTTCTTCATAAACCTTCATTGATCTCTTAAAATAGGGCTGACACAAGTGGAAGTAACTCCATTTGATGGCAGATAAAAGTTGAGGTTCAGGCCAGGGTTTCTAAAACAATTCAGGTGGTAATCAGCACTCATCCACCCCAATTTAATGACGTTCACACGTATTCCCAGTAAACAAATCCAGGAATTGCCTTTTGTTGAGAAATTAATGAATGTGAACCTTTATTATTATTATTATTATTATTATTATTATTATACTTTAAGTTTTAGGGTACATGCGCACAATGTGCAGGTCAGTTACATATGTATACATGTGCCATGTTGGTGTGCTGCACCCATTAACTCGTCATTTAGCATTAGGTATATCTCCTAATGCTATCCCTCCCCCCTCCCCCCACCCCACAACAGTCCCCGGAGTGTGATGTTCCCCTTCCTGTTTAGCCCCTTTGGTGTGTGTAACTGTCAACCTCAGGATTTCTTTGTCAAGCTCAGCAGAGTATGCAGAGCAGAGTCTAGGAAGGACAGCTTAGATTTTTGGAAAACCACGCCAGACCACACCGGAAAACACAAAACTTTGAGCCTTGACTCCCAGCGAGAGGCGTTCAGCTACGGCAAGAGGGGCTGGTCTCAGCGTCTCTTAATCAGCCCCAGGGTGGTTTATCTAAGTGAAGTAAGGTTGCCCGTAAGCTATGCTCTCTCCCCTAAACTCTCTCTGGCTGTGATGTCTGGGTCCTCAGGTCCCAAATCTTGGCAGGGACAGCCCGTGAGTGCTGGAGCCGGGTCCGGTGGGGAAGCAGGGATGTGTGCCTCTTCCACTGGCTGAGTCATGCCCCTAGTGTGTTTCCTCCTGCTTCACCACCGCCCCAACAATTGTCTCCCATAATGTTTTCAGCAAAATCAAAGACCTCATATTGTTTTATGTTAGCCATAGGTAACCTTTTTGTGGGAAGCGAGGACAGGATCTCACTCTGTTGCCCAGATTGTCGTGCAGTGGCACAATATTGGTTCACTGCAACCTCCACTTCCTGGGCTCCAGTGATCCTCCCACCTCAGCCTCCCGAGTAGCTGGGACTACAGGCATGTGCCACCACACCCACCACCTTTTAAAAAATGTAACCACACACCATTATGATTATTGACTACACTGACAAAACTTCTTACTATCTAACATGCTGTCAATTTTTAAAATAAACCCCCATGTACTCACACATCATGAGACGGAGTTTCGCTCTTGTTGCCCAGGCTGGAGTGCAATGGTGCGATCTTGGCTCATCGCAGCCTCCACCTCCCGGGTTCAAGCGATTCTCCTGCCTCAGCCTCCCAAGTAGCCAGGATGACAGGCATGCACCACCACGCCTGGCTAATTTTGTATTTTTAGTAGAGACGGGGTTTCTCCATGTTGGTCAGGCTGGTCTCGAACTCCTGACCTCAGGTGATCCGCCTGCCTCAGCCTCCCAAAGTGCTGGGATTACAGGTGTGAGCCAGTGCGCCCGGCCTCCATCATGCAGTTTCAACAATTATGAACCCAGGCCAACTTGTCTCATCTAAAATCCCATGTAACCTCTTCCTCTCCCCGGGATTATTATGGAAATCTCAGACTTGAAATCATTTCATTTGTAAATACTTCAGTCTGTGTTTCTACAAAATAGTCCCTTTCTCTTTTAAAATATAACCACGATATGGCTAAAAAAATTAGCAATAACTAATTCTATAAAGTATGTACTTGAAGAGTGTTCAGATTGATTGTAAATGTATATATATGCATGTGTTTGTATATATGTGCCCATGTGTGTACACATATGTATAGACACGTTTGGCTTGTTTAAATCAGAATTCAACACATTTCAAACATTACATTTACTTGGACAAGTCTCTTAAATTTATTTTATATACAGGTTATCTCTCTCTCTTTTTTTAATTGCAATTAACCAGATTCCTTACCCTGTAGCATTTTCCACACTCTGAATTGAGTGACTGCACATACGTGGTATCTTCTTTCCCTTCTTGGTACCATGTGCGTTCCTGTGGACTGGTGACGAGATTTACATATGTGCTGTTTAACACACTTGCCACTAGTACGTGTGGCTGTTCAACACTTGAAATGTGGCTTCTGTAAAACTTTTAATATTAGTTAATTGAAATTAATGTAAATTTTAAAACACACTCTATTTGGTTGTTGGAAGATTTTCAAGTACGACTGGAGCAACTGCGGCTCACAAATCTAGTTTTTCAGCTGGAAATTTTACAAACTCTAAATACAGACTATTTCCAATGAGAAATCAGCAATGGAAGATGTACTGCTAATGCAAAATTTACACAAGATTTCAAAGATGTATGAAAAAATGTAAAATATCACATCAATACTTTTTACATCGATAACATTATGAAATTATATTTTTGGTACATTGGGATAAATAAAACATACGATTAATTTCAACAATTTCTTTTTACCTTTTTAACGTGGTTACTAGAAAATTTAAGATTCCTGTCTTAAATACTGTAAGATAGCTCACGTGATATTTCTGTTGAACAGCGCTAATGTAGAGGCTTAATTTGATTCGGATTTTTGTGGGGGAAAAAGGAGTTCACGGCGATGTGCGCCCCTCACCGTGTCACACTGGAGCCACAGAATTCCCCTTGTTTGCCTGCGGCGTTGTAACCATGGAGCCGCCGGCTCAGTGTTTCCACGCTCTCTCCCAGAATTCCCCTTGTTTGCCTGTGGCGTTGTAACGATGGAGCCGCCGGCTCAGTGTTTCCACGCTCTCTCCCAGAATTCCCCTTGTTTGCCTGCGGCGTTGTAACGATGGAGCCGCCGGCTCAGTGTTTCCACGCTCTCTCCCAGAATTCCCCTTGTTTGCCTGCGGCGTTGTAACCATGGAGCCGCGGCTCAGTGTTTCCACGCTCTCTCCCAGAATTCCCCTTGTTTGCCTGCGGCGTTGTAACGATGGAGCCGCCGGCTCAGTGTTTCCACGCTCTCTCCCAGAATTCCCCTTGTTTGCCTGCGGCGTTGTAACGATGGAGCCGCCGGCTCAGTGTTTCCACGCTCTCTCCCAGCTCCTCACCAGATGGGTTGGCAGCAATGATGATGATGACGCTCATCTTGCGTCATTCGAGATTGCCCAACTGGGATATTGTATCAGGTTGGTGCAAAAGTAATCACGGTTTTTCCACCAACCTAATAGTTCCGATTTCCTCTTGTATTGCCCAGATTTCATCTATAAAGACCATTCCTTCAACACTCATTTGTTCCCCCAAAGCACAGTTTCCACAAATAAAATGAGATAAATGCTTGTTTTATGCGCTACCTTCACTAGTTTTCAGAATAATTTATTCTTTAAAAAGGGTGAAATTTTTTTAAAAAAAACTTTATGTTTCTGTTCTGCCTTTATTCCCAGCATCAGTCTGACCTAATGGGTCCAACGTGTTGCCGTCAATTGTAGTTATCATTTGTTTGACGCTAAAATTGTCTCTATGTGGCCCCTGGAAAAACTTTTTAGTCGGCTTCTGATTCCTTCTGTCGTGACCGGAAGAACAGGAGGCTTTCTCACCTTCTGGAGCAAGAGGCTGGTCCAGGATCACTTTCTTCCCAGAGCCGGAATCAGCGTTTTCTGACTCCAAGGAGCACTGGCACCCTGTAATGGGAAGTGGTATTTAGAGATCACAATCCGAGTGCCTAGTGATCCTCACTGCTTCTGGGTGAGATGTTATTTCTGGGATTTTTCAGTACATACTGCTAAGAAATACTTTTTTTTTTTTTTTGCAAGAAAAAATACACCATAAAACATATTGATATGTATAATTCAAATTTATAATTATAGTTTTTTTTTAATTTTTTAACAAAGTTTTTATGTCACTCCTTTTCCTGTGCTAAAATTTTTAGTTTCTGAAGGCACAAACCTAATTATCGACTCTATCTAGAAATCTATAAACCCTTAAGATAACAATACCAGTATTATTACTGGTATTACAAACACGGAAAATAATTTAAAATGTCTCTGTATTCGTTTTGTCCACAATATGTATCCTGTTAGTGCCGTTCAGTTATGGTGTTAAAGTTACAAGACACAGTGTTTTACTTGTGGCTTAGCTACCACCTTGATACATAGCTACCGCCAATTATTTTCCTTTTCTTTTTCTTTTCTTTCTTTTTTTTTGAGACAGAGTCTTGCTCTTGTCACCCAGGCTGGAGTGCAATGGCATAATCTCAGCTCACTGCAACCTCTGCCTCCCCGGTTCAAGCGATTCTCCTGCCTCAGCCTCCTGAGTAGCTGGAATTACAGGCGCTCGCCACTGCATCCCGCTAATTTTTGTATTTTTAGTAGAGACGGGGTTTCACCATGTTGGCCAGGCTGGTCTCGAACTCCTGACCTTGTGATCCACCCACCTTGGCCTCCCAAAGTGCTGGGGTTACAGGCGTGAGCCATTGCACCCGTCCTTTCTTTGTTGTTTTTAATAGTTGGGAATTACTTTGTAAATTTTGGTTTAATTTTGTTTTATATAAAAATATGTATGGTTCCACAATCAAATCTATAAAACAAGACATAATCAGGGAAGCCTAACTTTCTTACCCCTCACCCGTTCCTTCTTTCCACTCTAGTATTTTTTAATTTTAAATGTTTGGTTTGTCTTCCAGTTTTAGCGGGTGGCTTGTCTTGTTTCTGATGTTGGCAGAGAAGTTTCCCGTTAATTAAGAGGCGGACTTAGACTGTGGATTCCTGACATTTTTAAGGCTTACCTCTCAAGCTGCAATTCTGTCTTCAACCCAATAGGTTGTCTAAACAAGGTTGCTTGACTCATCAACCTGTTTAAGGGCCATTTTAGGCGTTTTATCCCTTTCTTTCTGCCATGTGGCAAGAATTGAAACAAGGAGACTCCAGGACACATGAGGAGCAATGCTTGAGTACCTCTTGGCTTCAACCCCTTTCAAGTTCTGAACACATGTTAATCACAACATCCCATTCTTGAAATCCCTAAGAGACAGGTGTGCGAGCTTAGTGGACACATGGGTTGACTTTCTCAGAAACTCACTCTTCAGAGTGAAGATCACACGAATGTTCCTGAGTCAGGGTCCCTCTACTCCTTTTAATAATGGGAGAGCCTCTTAGAAAATATCCTTTTATCACGTCAGGAGTTTACAGGACGAAGGCAGTGGCACAAGATAAGTCAACACTGCAGGGCCGCATGGGGACTGACCCGGGAGAAGAGTGAAGAGGTCCCGGGAGTGGCCACATTGCACGGGCAGAACTGGGAAGAGCCAGCTCTGTGGGGCTCCTGCACAGAGGGCTCAACGTCCATAACCCCCTTTAATTTTTACAAGACACACAGCACCTTGAGAAGCTTTCAGGATTATCCCCCCTTTTTTGATAGATGCAAAACTGAAACTGATGTTTAAAAACCTTGTGTTCAACAACACCCTGTAGAGAGGAGTGCTGTGAAATCATTACCAAATGGCCATGTCACTGCCACTGATGGAGGGACACCATGAGTGTTGCGTGTGGACTGAAACACCCAGAGGGACACCTTAGTTAATCATTATGGCCAAGGAGGGATGTGCTCTGATTAACTGAATTGTTCATTTTGCTTCGAGTTAATAATTTTATGTTCTAAAATGTGCATTGGCAGATACAGGCTTGGGAAGAATGCAGAGGCCTCTGCCTTCAGCAGTGATTTTCAAATGAGGGCATGTTCTCAGTAAATGGTCTCACCTATAAAATATTTGGGTGTTATGATTTCATTTCACCAATGATGTTAACAAGTGTGTGATGTGGTCTTCTCAAACCACCTCAGGACTGAATAGTGCCTTTGAGTTTTTGAGCATCTATTTTTATGGATATTTCTAATTAAATTGGTATAAAACATTACTAATGTCATTGTGGTGGCCCAATGCTGAAAAGACAGAGATACACTTAATGAGAAAAAATGTTTCCACTTAGTGAACTCAAAATGACAGGACAGTGCTATGATAACCGGGGAAGAAGTTGTTGGAGAATCTTGGCTACAGGAGAGCAGAGGGTGGATTGGTCATCACATAGCAACTGTGGGAAAGTCCTGCTGAAACCAGGGCTCCACGCCTCACCCTGTCACACTTGCATCTTGAATAGCAGCTCCTTAGGAGCAAAGTCTACTATGCCGTATTAAATTAAGCAATGGTATTTTGAATTTTATTGGTTTTAAATCTTGTATTCATGTACAAGTCTACATTAGCTTTTGTTTTGCCAAGCTAAAAAGCATAATGTATTTATACCTCGCTTCAAGTTGATCCATATTATAATTATAATATACCATATATAATATAGTACATATTTAAAAGTTTGTGCTATTATATCTATATATCATATTGTATATTTTAATATTAATACTATATTTGAGCTCTTTAAATTAACACTGTGAGTCCATGGGACCTTTTACTTTCTTTAAAAGGCATGCATGTGTGACTTAAGTCTGAGAAACATTGGACAAGAAAACTCATTTCTAGCTTTATTTTGTTGAACTATAGAACTACATTTTCAGAAACATCCAGTTTTACTAAAGAAAAATTCAAATCTAGTAAGCAGAGCTTTCAAGAGCATGATTATTCAATTATTTGTCCAAGAAGCATTAAATTGAGATGTATTAATACCATGTGCTGGAAAACCCATCTGAGCCCTTAGATGCCAAGTAACTAATGGTTGAGATGTCTCAGGCTAGAGGGATTTAAGGAGGCCAGGGATACTGTCCCTCCCCAGGGGAAGGTGGCTCAGGAAGCCCCAATTCCAAAGATAAGCACGTGATTGATAGGTGACCATGATGGGGAAGTACACTCCAATCAAACAGAGCACAGGCAGCAGGTAAAGACACTACCTCATGCTGTGGACAAGCAGGACATATCGTGAAAACTATCATTCATCTTCATCTCTAGCCCAAACCTCACAGAGGAGGCAGCAAAAAGCTGCTCAAGCCCTTAAGAAATGATAATCCCATTACTGGATATATACCCAAAGGATTATAAATCATGCTGCTATAAAGACACATGCACACGTATGTTTATCACGGCACTATTCACAAGAGGAAAGACTTGGAACCAACCCAAATGTCCAACAATGATAGACTGGATTAAGAAAATGTGGCATGTATACACCATGGAATACTATGCAGCCATAAAAAAGGATGAGTTCATGTCCTTTGTAGGGACATGGATGAAGCTGGAAACCATCATTCTCAGCAAACTATCGCAAGGACAAAAAACCAAACACCACATGTTCTCACTCATAGGTGGGAATTGAACAATGAGAACACATGGACACAGGAAGGGGAACATCACACTCTGGGGCCTGTTGTGGGGTGGGGAGAGTGGGGAGGGATAGCATTAGGAGATATACCTAATGTAAATGATGAGTTAATGGGTGCAGCAAACCAACATGGCACATGTATACATATGTAACAAACCTGCATGCTGTGCACATGTACCCTAGAACTTAAAGTATAATAATAAAAAAAAGAAATGATAACATTGAAAATTGGAGACTGAACCAAAATAGAAGATGCCAAAATGAGATTTAAATAATAACTGCTCTATCAAAGGGGACTTTAAAATGACTAATAAATATGCAAATGTTAAGTTGTTTCTAGATATCGTGCACATCGGACAAGTCAAGACTCGGAATGAAGTCATGAAAGAATGTCAGTTGTCTGATTTCCAATGAAATGGAGAGAATCCTTTGCTTATCCAGCAGTCAGGGAGGTGGAGAATGTTTGCGTCACACAGGACACCTGATGTCATTCACTGTTAGCCCCCCAGATTTAGGGGGTCACTAAGTTGAGGTGCTCTGTCTAGGCACAGGAAAGCAATATGGCTGTTGTCCCCACTGGCTATAAACACCTGCATTCGAATACGCTTAACACTAGGACTTTTAATACACAGTCCCTAAATAGATGTAGTCCCATGATAAAAGAGATCTATTTTATCAATTGGAAAAGCTCCCAATTATTTTCTTGGCTTGGAGATTTAAACTATTAATTGCCTATTAGGGCAGGTAGAGGCCCTGCAGAAAAGTAATGTTTAATTTGCTTAACCCAAGATCTCTCAAACTTGTTAGACCATGGACTTTTGCCATGATTACTTTTAATATCTTTTGTTTTGTTTTGTTTTTGAGACAGAGTCTCTTTCTGTCGCTCTGACTGGAAGTGCAGTGGTGCGATCTCAGCTCACTGCAACCTCCACCTCCTGGGTTCAAGAGATTCTCCTGTCTCAGCCCCCTGACGTAGCTGGGATTACAGTCTTGTGCTACCATGCCCAGCTAACTTTTGTATTTTTAGTAGAGACAAGATTTTGCCATGTTGGCCAGGCCAGTCTCAAACTCCTGTCCTCAAGCAATCCACCTGCCTCAGCCTCCCAAAGTGCTGGGATTACAGGCATGAGCCACCATGCCTGGCCTTAATATCATTTTTTGATACCCACAACTTTAGGAAATGGAGATCTTAGGTATCATATTATATCTTAAGAGAAGCAAAGATAAAGCACTGCAGGATATATTTCAACATGGAAGTCACAGTGGGCTTAGCATAACTATCTCACTGAGCTCATTGCTCTCTGTTGGAGCATATTAGACATATAATGTATTAACACATTTTTTATGTTAGCTGGAAAGTGATCTCACCATAGGAAAAAAATAAACTTAAATTAGTTTGCTATTCTTTATGTATATATAACTACATGCAAACATACACATTTCAGTCATATATAGTTATGTGTGTGTATATATATATGTGTGTGTGTGCATCCAGATATAAAGATGTATTTTTATTTCTATTAATGCATATACAATACTACAAAATAAACTTGGAATCGTCTGAAAGATTCAAAATAAATTTATTAGTATCTTAACAGATGTATTCCTCTTTGAAAATGTTGTTGTTTACTGTTTTAAGGGAGAACACACGTGTTAAGTATATAAAATCACAGACAGAGCAAGATTAGACTATTCCAACTAAGAATTTTTTGAGGTGCGTAAGTGCTTCTTATACAAACATTTCATTTGAATAACTAAAAATATCTAGTGTTTTGAGGGTGTGGAGAAATCAGAACTTGCGTCCACTGGCAGTGGGACTATAAATTAGTACAAACTTTTTGTAAGACAAATCTGGAAGCGTCTCCCGATTTTGAAATGCATATAAAACTTTGATCCTGACGCCTCACTTCTGAAGACTTGCCCAGAAAATTAACTTGCACAAGTTCAGATGGATTCATGGATGAGAATGCAAGATCCTTTCCTTTTTTTTTTTTTTTTTTTTTTTTTTTTGAGATGGAGTCTTGTTCTGTCACCCAGGCTGGAGTGCAGTGGCTCAATCTGGGTTCACCGCAGACTCTGCCGCCCAGGCTCACGCAATTCTCCTGCCTCGGCCTCTCAAGTAGCTGGGATTACAGGCCACACCACAATGCCTGGCTGATTTTTTTTTTTTTTTTTTGGGCAGAGAAGGGGTTTTGCCATGTTGACCAGGTTGGTCTCAAACTCCTGACCTCAAGCTATCTGCCCATCTTGGACTCTGAAAGTGGTGGGATTACAGGTGTGAGCCATCGCTTCCGGCCTAGAACCTTTTCTTTTCCAGTCTGGCTACACAAGGTCTCCTTCCTCTATCTGGAGAAATCTCCCATGTGTAAGTCTTGGTGAGAACAGAGCCCATAACTCACCATAGACACTGAAGATGCTGGGCCCTCGTGCTGATGGTTGCCCTCCTGATGTGGTCCATTGGGTAACTGTGTGAGAGTGAGCAAGGCTCAACTCCATCATGCTACTGATTCATTTCTAACCTGGATATGGTTAAACAAAGAAGCAAAGGCAGTGGAAATATGTAGGGCAGTGGCTGGAAAAACTGTATCTTTTCTAAGAGAAACAGAGGTAGCAGCATCCGGGACACACTAGTACCAATGGGGAACCCACGCAAATTGCAGCAGCTGAGGGTGGTGGTGGGAAGTCCCCCACTGCTGCCTCTGCACATGGTTTGGGCAATAGTTCTCAATGCCTAACCTTTTCTTCATCCCATTTTCTGAATCAATACTTTATCTGTTCTGCTGGCTGTGAACTGCCAAAAATCCTTTTAGTAAATTTCTTTCCTGCTCCAATCAACCAGAATCTCAATTTCTACTACTGGGAAAGACGCTTGACTTGACACAGGGTGTCCACAGAGCATTGTTATGGCAAATAAGTAAACACAGCCTAAATGTTTACACCTAATGGGTCTAATTAATAATTTGTTGGGCATCCATGTGACACAATCCTATGTGGACATTATAAATAATGTGGTAAATCTATACATATACTTTGGTATTCACATGGAAACAGCTCTGAAGTATATTAATGAATAAAAATTCAAATTGCACAGCAAATTTTCTGAGTTTCGATGGAGTCACAGAAAATCAGTACAAAGACTTAAACAGATGAAATTAGCTCTTGTCAATTAACAAGAAGTCTGGACATAGCAAGTCTAGGGCTAATGTCACCAGTGCTCCTTAGCAAGTCTAGGGCTAATGTCACCAGTGCTCCAGTTCTGGAGTCACAGGACGGCCACCACAGCTTTGGTCTGCATCCAGGCTCACGAGAGAAAGAAGCCTAAGAACCGTGGAAGCAGTGGTGAAACCTCAGTCTAGGGGCAGAAGATGGATTCCATGGTGCCCACAGACACCGAGAGAAAGAACCAGGGGAGGAGCTGTGAGAAATCAAAGAGCGGCACAATATGTTCGCCCAAACCCCAGATTCTGGGATGAGGCTCCCTGGGCTGGCATCACAGGATACCATGTCCTACCCAGGCAGGTTAGTTTTCCTCTTCGGGGCCTGAGCTCCTCCTATGCCAGATGGGAATAGAGCTGCTGTGAATATTCAATGATTAACATATGAGGGGCCACCCAAGCTCTGCCATGCACATTTGAAGTGTTCTATGAACAGTAGCTCATATGATTTCGTGCAGGCTTCTTCTGATTCAGAAAAGAAAACATCTCTAAATCCTAAGACCCACCTGTGTGTCTTCTTAGTGATATACCCGATTGGCGCTCTCTCTCAGAGTCTCAGAAAGACTCTCTTCTCTCTGTCTCTTTCTGTGTGTGAGTGTGTGTGTGTGTGTGTGTGTGTGTTATGACTCATAAGCTTAAGTGATTATGGAGGCCACAATTATGGAGGCCATAATGTGACTGTGAGCTGAAGAACCAGGAAAATGGGTAATTTAGTCTGAATGTTAAAGCTTGAGAGCCATGGAACCAACAGTGAAACCTCAGTCTGAGGGCAGAAGATGGATTCCATGGCACCCACACATACTGGGGAGAGCCATCTGCTTTCCTGCATTCACCCATCCATCCAAAAGCTAATGTCATCCAGAAACACCCTCACAGCCACATTGGAAATAATGTCTAATCTGGGCGCCCTATGCAGTCTACTCAAGTTGGCACATAAAATATATAACCATCACAGAGACATTTGCTTTATATGTTATGTCTTTCTCTAATATTTGAAGATTTTTCAATGAGCCCTTCTTTTATAATTTAAAAATATTATAGAAATAAAACATTACAAATTTAAACCTGATTCTAATTAACCATTTTCCCATTTGCCCCAAGAATACTTGCCAGCGGTGCTTGCAATTGCAGTATTTACCCGGTGATAACTTCGCCACAAAATATCCTGCTCTTATTATTATTTTTATATCACTCCGGTATGTCAACTTTGGAAACAAAAGACATCATTCTATTTGTAGCATTCTGTTTTTAGTAGTGGTCGTTCCATTTAAAAAGTGTAGTAACTATCGATCGCTGAAAATGTCTAATCCTAGGAAACGTAGCATTCCTATATGTGATGTTAACATCGTTCTCCAATAGTTGTTGGCCAAAGATTCATTTGGTGAGTCCAATTTTTCCAAAATACATGATTCTGATTATTCGGATAATTCTGATGTTAGTTCTGTTTAGAGATAACTCCAAGAACAGTTTTTATATTTTATTTTCACATTGAAAGTCAGTCCGATTTTCCTTAGCCTCAAAGAGCTCGTCTATGTTAAATGAGCACTGGCAGTGAGCCACACTATTTTTCTGCCAAATGAGAGGAGGGTTAATGGATTTGGTCATTGGCCTCACCCCATACAGACAGGACTCACACACAGTGGTAGATTGAAAAAGGTACAGACAAGCCTTTCAGGCACCATGACCATGCTTGAATCTGGGGCTGGCCATGAGCCTTGCTTTTGCCAATGGGACAATTATGAATCTAATGCAAGGAGAGTCTCGAAAGCATCCAAGTGCTGGAGCTTTTGCTGTCTCTCTCTCTCTTAGTTTTGTACAACACATACACCATGGAAAGGAGCCAGGGCCAGCCTGCTGGAGCATGTGACCCATGAGAGAGGCTATCCAGGAACAACCAACTCAGCCAATGTGTCAGTTGACCAAACTATCTGAGCGAGCCAGGGAAGATCAGCAAAAGAACCACCCGGCTGAACCCAGCCCAAACTGCAGGCCCTCAGAATGGTGAGCTGAGCCACAACTGTCCTTCTAACCTCTCAAGTTTTGTATACCACAAAACTGATATTCAATGTGATATGTAAACATTCCCTCTCCCCGGAAAAGGTGTTCTATCTAAAAACATTCTACACCTAGATCATAGGATGCTTCGAAGAGGAGGTGGAATGATTTAGAACACAGACTAGAAGCAGTCTTTGGATTAGAAAGAGATACCTGTATTGGGTCATAATGTTTATAAATATATATTTCCCAAAGTAGGTATTTATTTATTTGTTTGTTTGTTTTGAGACAGGGTCTGACTCTGTCACCCAGGCTGGAGCACAGGGGTGCCATATGCTGCAGCTGCCACCTCCCAGACTCACTCGACCCTCTCACCTCAGCCTCCTGAGTAGCTGGGACTACAGGTGTCTGCCACCATGCCTGGCTAATTTTTGTATTTTTTGTAGAGATGAGGTCTCATGTTGCCCAGGCTGGTCTCAAACTCCTGGGCTCAAGCAGTTCACCTGCTTTGGCCTCCCAAAGTGTTGGTGTTACAGGCATGAGCCACTGCACACTGCAAAAGTAGACATTTAAAAAGCATATTGTTTTGTCAAAGATGACAGCAGCCCCATGACACCATGCATACATTAAATGTAGAGCACTTGATTACATAATGTCTTGGCAGCATACAGGAGATCAATGTTGTCTCAAAACAAACCCTTCTTCACAGGAAGTGGTGCTTCATTCTCTTTCTTCAGTGTGAGCCAAGGACCAGCTGCTGGAACTGATGACATGAAGGCAAGGTGCCGCTCCATTAGGCTCTGTTTCTTACCTGCTGCAGATCAAACTCATAGAGAAATGATAGGAACAGCCCAAGAACATAAAGAAAGCCCAGAAATATTACAAGGGCACATTTTCCCTCCTCTGATTATTTTTGATAGCAGTTAAAAACATTTCTTAAAGGAAAATACTTTTTTTATCATAATGAAGAGATAGGCAAGCTTTTGCTTACCTCATTTAGTCAGACATCTTTTTTTTTCTCTTATCTCCTTTCTTCATTTTCTGTCTTATCTTACTGGTACCTAGAAAGCAAAATGGAAGCAAAAGAATTTGTGCATGTTCATTTGCAAAGCTGCTGGCTCTGCTGCTGTGGCTGTTTGCAGATGTAACTGGGTGCTAGACGTGCTTCTCTTGTTGTCCTAAAATTTTCAGCAGAAGCTCCCAACTGCACCACTACCACCACCAACAACAACCACAGGCACAAAGGACTTTCGCCCACTGCAGGTGGCTGCTGGACACTCTACTCAGGCTGTGGAGACAGGGGAACAGGGGAGCACCGTGGGCAGAGCTACTGCATCATCACCTTCACCATGATATACGGGAAGGTGACAACATCAGCAGTGAGGGGCTGAGGAGGTTTGGAAAGCGCCTGCCCTGCCTCTGCTTACCCCACGGGAGAAGGGAATTGCTCCCTTCTCACCTCAGGATAAGTCAGATAAGCCTCACAAAAAGCAGTTAAAGAGCTTGAGCCACATCCCTGGGATCTGAGGAAGAAGTGACTAATATTTGACTTATGCCTGAGAAAGGATAAAGGTGAGTCTGGCTGGATCTTTCAGACGGGAGAGAGGCCATACCCTTTTACTGACAATGGGACCACAGTATGCACTTGCTGGATGTGGGCCTCGTGCATGACAGCTGGGTCCCTCTGCTGAGAGGGAGTCTATCCAGAGGCCTCATGCGCAGGAGACCCAGTGGTGTCTATGCCCATCCCTCCAGGAACCTGCCTGGAATTCCATCTCTGGGGAGGAAACGCCAGCAGAGGGACAGACCTGGGGAAGAAAGAAGCTGCTTTTCATTGTCTCCTGGTGGATCTAGTTTATTTAATGCTAAATTAAATTAAATTAGCACCTCCTAATAGATTTGCATCTTTTCAGAGAATCCTTCTGGGTAGCATCGTCCACTCCTTGAGAGAGAATTGACCGGCCTTTGGTAGAAGAGGAGGCATGGTCTGTATGGCAGGAACACAAGGCGTGAAAAGGCCTCACAGGCCCTCACTGGCTCATCCACTACATATTGAGGCTTCACGCATTTGTCTCAAGTCCAACCAGAGCCATGCCTCTTTCAGTCCTTAACCCTTCACCCACACCACCTGTGTGCACAGACATGTATGTCTCAGGGAAGGTTATAAATGAAGCTTATTTGCCATTTACTTCTCTGCATGGACTTTTTTAGGTCCTTCTCTCAGCATGGCAGAATGTATAAAAAATTGATCATTCCTTGTGCTTGAGCTATCAGGGCCACCATATCTGACAAGCACGAGGAGCAGGTTGTTGTTATTTTTGATTGTTCCTGTTGGAACACAGCTATGCTCATTGGTTTACAGTGCCCATGCCGCTTTTATGCAGTGGCCACAGAGTTGAGTAGCAGCAACCGAGACGTTACAGTGCACAAAGACTGAAATAGATACTATCTGGTCCTTAACACAGGAAGTGTGCAAACCACCCCCCAACCGTATAGGATCTGGCAAACCAGACCCTAGAACTGTGGGACGAATACCAAGATGAAGGTCAAGTCCCAAATTCCCTGTCCTTACCTGCCCTGGGGCCAGCTTTGGGACACAGAGCCGTGAGGAACATGGGCTCTCTCTCCTGCCACCCTTCTTCTTCCTCTTACAAATGTAGCCATTTCACTACCTGCATGTGTTCTAAAATCTAGTGTCCTTTACAATTAAAAGCCACCTAGAAACGCAAGCATGCCCATCGCATAGATTGCATGGTCAATGGCTCCATACAGAGTCCCTTTAAAGAAAATTTACCAAAATTTACAACTTAAAAAAAGTGAAAAATTTTACCAAAATTTATAACTTAAAAAAAAGTGAGCCTTTTGCTTCCTGGTAGTAGAGGTTGGAGCTGTGATAATATTATGGGCACATATTATTATGTGCCCATAATAATATGGGCAAGGCACCTCATTTCAGTATGCACCTGTGAGGAACAGGCCAGCCATTGTATCATGTACTGAGTGAATAAACTGAAATCTAATCCAAGAACATGACGTTCGAGGTGAAGGTAAGAAATATCACATTACATTGGAACAGATGGAGCAACAATGACTGCAAATGGATGTGAAATTCACTCGGAAGTTTTTCTATTATTTTTATCACTCTAATTCAAAATACACCTGCCAGCATTCTTTTCTCTGATTCACAAGCACCTCTTTAAAAACAGACACAGTGTAACTAAAAGATAAATATTTAAGGTGATGGATATCCCAGTTACCATTTGATTACATGGAAGTATTAGATTATTACAGGTACCCCCAAATATGTACATCTACTATATATCAATAAGAAAAGGCTTGGAAAGTAAAAAAGGAAAAAAAACAGACATATACACACCCAATAGTGCACGTGCACATAACATCTAATTTTAAGTAGAAACGCAGTGATTTCATATCATAAAGAAAAGGAGTTTGGGGCCTTCCGTGCTGAGCCTTAGTGTTGGTAGGAAACACTAACAGGCAGTGCTGGGGACAAAATCTGTGGGACTCAAACAAAACGAAAATGTGGGTCCCCTTGTGAAGAAATCATGCAGATGGCCAAGGCCAGGACAGCAGAGGGCTAAGCTAAGTTCGTGTCCCATTCCCTGCAGCCAGCACTGCCCAGGAGCCGCCTTCCATTCTCAAACATGTAACACAGAGGCACCCGATGGCAGAGATGGCTTCACGCTAGCTGTGCAAAGCTGCCCACCATCATCCTGGAAATCATGCAGACGGCCAAGCCCAGGACCGTAGGGCACTAAGCTAAGTTCATGTCCCCTTCCCTGCAGCCAGCACTGCCTAGGAGCGGCCTTCCATTCTCAAACATGTAACACAGAGGCACCCGATGGCAGAGACGGCTTCACGCCAGCTGTGCAAAGCTGCCCACCATCATCCTGGAAATCATGCAGACGGCCAAGCCCAGGACCCTAGGGCACTAAGCTAAGTTCGTGTCCCCTTCCCTGCAGCCAGCACTGCCTAGGAGCGGCCTTCCATTCTCAAACATGTAACACAGATGCACACGATGGCAGAGACGGCTTCACGCTAGCTGTGCAAAGCTGCCCACGGTCATCCTGGGCCATGGTGCAAACTAGACGGTGGAGCAAAGGAAGTTTCAAAGCAAGCGCCCCTTCCTCTTCTTGGGCAAAACAACTTCTCTTTTGTGTTCTTCCAGCAGCCTCGACTGTAAAGACCTTTCGGTCACTGCATTAGCCCTTGTCTTTCCATCTGGCTACTCAGCTGCTGCTATTAGCTGAAACATCACTTAAAACAAGAAGCAAGGCATTAAATGTTTCATTCACCCAGGCAGCAGCTGTGGGGAGATAAAGGATGACATGCAATGGAGACTTTAAACACCAGAGCCCTGAGAGGACAGGGGTCTTGGGCGGCACCTCTTATTTTATCGGTGGGCAGCAGGCCTGTCCCAGGGAGTGGTCACTGGGGAGCCAAGCCTGTCAAACACCTTTTGGCAGGAATTGTCACAAAACAGGAACCTGCTGGGAGGACAGAGACATTTCAGCCAAAAAACAAAGGCCCTCGAGCCTTGGGCATTTTATTTTGCTTTGAAAAAAGACCTTTCAGCGAAGAAAATGGCATCATTGTTCTGCTCCTGAGCACTGATACCACAGCGGGGTCACTGTCCCCTAGTGCCCAGCACACCCTGCACAGCCTTGGGGACAGGGGCAGGGGCTGAGGGGCCACAGGAAGGCCCCAGTGAGGGGGAAATTGTCCTTCAGTACAGAACACTCATTTGCAGGGAATGTGGGGCTCGAGCCAAAAGGGCTGGCTGGCTTCATCGAGGCTGTGCATCGTGTTTGAAAGTGTGTTGAGCCATGTTTGTCCCCAGTGCCAGTCCCCACCTCCTATCCGGCAGGGCCGTCCAAGGTCAACGAGAAGAAATGAGTCTTTACTGAAATGCAGAAAGTACTGTGCTTCCCCAGCATCTGGAAAACCTGCCCTCCCTACAGCAGTGCCACTGGGGACAACGCTGTGTTCTCCTTGGGGGTGTGGCCAGTGGCCTCCCACTGTGGAAGACGGCCTGCAGGGCCTCTCTGCGAAGGTGACAACTCCTCTCAGCCGCTCCCTTGGCGAGTCCCTGTGCTAGATGAGCGGCTCGCTGGTTCCGATCATTCCTTTCTTCATTTGTTAACGGGGATTAAAGGACATTTCTCCAAGACCCCCTCCAGAATCTGCAAGACCCAGTGCAAAATGAACATGCAGGCCCCATGAACAAGCAAGGTTAAGAATTTCAAGGCAGTGACGAGGGGGCATTAAAGAACCCAGCATGGGGCCCTGCTAAGCTTGGGCCGGAGCGCCCGCCCAGGTGGCCCGTCCGTGACTTCTGCCCTGTGTGCTTGCCCGGATTGTTAGGAAGAGTGATCAGAAACGTGTGTGAAATCGGAGTGCTGCCCAGCTCTTGATAGATCCCGGGTGGATGATGGTCCAACTTAAACAGATGGCCAGGAAGGAAGGAAAGGTATTTCCGTGGAAATCATCTAAATCAAGATGCAGAGCCCACGTGTGAAAAGAATGTGTTGCTAAGAAGTCATTATTTAGATACAATGAGATCAAACTATATAAAGAAAATGAAGTGGAAATATGGGTTTTACCTGCCCCTCTCTCCTCCCAGTGAGAAAATGGAGTTGAAATATGGATTTTGTTTGCCCCCTTCCAAGGCGAAGAGGACGTTTGATGATGTCCACGTCCGAGGGCTGTGCCTGAGCATCAGAGGCAAATGGAAGTCAGGTCTCCTATGAAGACAGAAGTTCCAGTGACCCCAGTTGGAGAACACCAATCTCTTCTAAAAACAGAAAGTTCAGAAATCACAGCCTGAGTAGGCACTGACAGGTGTCATGTTCGTATTTTTACCCTAGCTCCATACATGAACATTTATTAACCATTATGAACATCTTAGAACAAGTAATTTTTCCTCCCTATGTATTATAACCTAGAGAGTGAAACTAAGAGAGTCTCATAAGGAACATGGACTCTTTCTATTCCCTTAAAAGGCTCTGCATGTAACACAATCTTCCTCACAAGAGACTTAAACAGATCGATCCTGTCCCCTAAAAATGTGTAGGCAGTATTTTCTGCCTGTAACTTCTGAAAACTTCCATAAATTTCCTTTCTGCTGTATGAAAGGACTTCCTTTCATCTATCCTAAAACTACCCTCTTCAAACTTCAAAGGCTGACGCCACAGTTTAAATATTCTGGGATTTGGCTAAGAGGTCCATGATCACGTTAGCAATGCCTTTCATGAATTTACAAACTTTGATCATTTCTTCACCTCGGCCTTCATCTTTCAGACAAAAGAACTCTAATTTTTTCAGTCAGTTCTTACAAGGAAGACATTCCAGCCACCTCCTCCTAACATTTGGTTCCCCGTTCTTCCCATATTGAAAGAATGTATCTGTCTGTCTATAAAAGCAAGATGAGGGATGATACATGCAAAGTTTCCCATGAACAGCTGCAACATAGCTTTTGAAGAGTAGGAAAATATTTTGTTTCTATTTTTAAACACCAGGTTAGATCGTTCTAAGAATGGTTAACTTTTTCTCCTGAGGTAATAACACATTAGACTGATTTTGACAGTGCATAATCCAAGTCCATGGCTCATATCTTTTTAAGATCAAAATTTGGATTACATTTTCCAAAAAGTCCTCCTACCTTCCCTACATTAAAGATATGGGCCATTTTTTTCTACTCATTCTTGCAGCAAAATTAGGTCCTAATAGCCCATAATAGCTCATGGTATTTTAACCTTCCAATTAAAATACAAATGCATTCACAGTCACAGAGTTAGAAGAAACACTATATGATTTTCAAAAAACCACTGAGCATCTCCCACATGCAAAGAACCAGGCCCTAAGAGTTAACGTGAGAAGATGGGAATAAATGTTAATGTGGAAGGTGTATTTTATCTGAGTCAAATCCCTTTATAGACCTTACCAATTGGCTCTTATTCCTACCTGTTCACCCAGGATATTCAGCAACTCGGACATCTGTGAGCCTCAACAGAGGTCTCCTTCCTTAAACCAAGAGGCCTTCTCCCTTGAGCTGATGTTGCCTCCCTACAAGACACTAGGGATGTGGCAATGCCAAGTTAAACTTTGACAAAAATGGTGGGGAAAAAAACACTTTCCTCTTTGCATTACAATCGCTTCAAGGGGTTCCAAATCGAAGCTACGTGCACCCCGACACTTCGTGGAGTTTTTATTTTGTTTCATAAACTCATTCTTGATCTCTCACTGACAGCCTATGCTTTGCATAAAATTAGGGAACAAATACTCGGAATTATCACCATACCCGTAATAAAAGATTCTGTGATACCAGGTTGTGCCTTTTTCTATCCTCAGGAGGACTCAGGGGTGAGATATGTTCAGATGTATTTCAGCACCTGCCATTGACACCCCTTTGGCTAAAGCTCAAATCCCTGTTCCCAAACCAGAGCGCACAGTCCTGTGAGGACAGGTGGGTGGGGGAGAAGCAGTGTCTAAAAATAAGTTTCAGAAATGAGCAGAGGAGCAGGGGCCTGTCCGTAATGTGTTGGAGATTCGACAGGGTTAGAGTTCCTGGTGGCCGGGTGTCAGGCTGCTTTCAAACTCCCGGTCATCATGCGGTTGGAGGTGACTTCAACTCACAGCCTGCGGGTTCTCATTCCCAAATGATGACATCGAGGCACAGGGAGGCTAAAGTTCTTCACTGAGTTTACACAAAATGCTGGTGAGCTACAGAATTACAGAATCTGAGCTGCAAAATCATTCTCTTAACACCACCAGGTAATTCATAAAATATATTAAAAATAGCGTTCATCAATGGACTCCTCGCAAGCATTTCTCTTCATATTCTAACCAGAGTCTAGCTTATAACAAAATAGTTTAAAATATGAGTATTAACTAGAAAGTTTAATTAAACCAAAAAACATTTACTAAGCACCAACTATGTGCAGAGGAGGACGCAGGTACTGCAGAGAATACCAACGCGAGTGATTTTGTTTGAAGGTCAAAGCAGATTCTGGAAAGATAAAAGTGAATTACGTCCTTCCTTTTGATTGCATACTTATGTACAGCCCTGCAAAACTTTTCATTTGTTATGCAAGATATTCCATTATATAAACCATTTTGCCTTTTACCCAAGAGTGCTTCTATTTCTCCTCAATAAGCCTAGCTCTTAGGTTGGTGTTAAGCAATTTCACATAAATGGAGCTGAGATTCTTCAACTTGTAGTTAGAGTTTTCTCACAATCCTGCTTTAGAGATGTGGTCATATTAGCAATATATTCCCCTCAATACCGAGTATTTGGGCTTCCACGGTACAGCATTTGACTAGAGATTGCAACTTTATCTTTGACTTTTGCCTAAAGCTCCGTAGTGGGTGCCATCTGCAGTGAGCAATGTATTTATATCAAGCCTGTCAGTTAAGAGAACCCTCCCAGGCATTTCGAGTTGTGATCTCTACCGTATCTGCTAGAGAGCACTTAATGATTCTAAGAATAGTCTTCTTTCTGCTTCCTCCGTCCTTTCCAGGCCTGGGAGAGAAGCCCAGGCAAAACCTCCAGAGAAATGAGTGCACGCTCACACCTAAGTCTCCGGACGTCTAGTTGACTTTGTCTTTTTTCTCTTAAGACATTGATCACCCAGTTCCTGAGATCTCAGCTAGGGCGAAGTTACTTTCTGGAGAGAGTTGTGAGCCTGGTGTTCAGAATTCTTGGGTGGATTTCTGAATATCAACTTCATAGCAGCCACTGAGTATCTCCCAACCTTCTCCTTTGAGAAGTAGGGCATGAATTCCTGTCTTTCCCACCTCTCATCTCCAAGCTTTTGAGAATACAAGATGAAATAATAAATTTGAAAGTCCTTTACGGACTGTGAAACTTACAATTATTCAAACTTAAATGTGAGTGAACGTGACTAGTTTAAATAATTGCTCACAAATGAACCACAGGTTGGTATTCATCAATGACTTGAAAAAAATAAAACGCCCAAAGTAGCTTCTCACATATTTTTGAGATAGTTAATTATTATATTTCCCACAATAGGGGAGCCCTCAAATAACACTCAGCTGCATCAAACTCTTAATATCTGAAATAGAAAAGTGTACAGTGACAGATACAGAAACGAATCAGTGCATTCAAATTCACAGGACACCTTCCTAGTTTGTCTATGATTTCCTATTGAACCAAATCATGATACCTAAAGGAGAATTCAATTTCAAATAATTAACCAGGTTGTAGCCACTTCTATTCTATAGTATCATTTTCACTCTCAGTTGAGCTTTTAAGAAAACAAAAGCAGACTCAATAAAATAAATGCAATAGTGTTCAAAAAGAAAGAGATTTAAAAGGACTACAAGGCATATTAGCTGTGCAATGATAATTTTACAGGGAGTTTAGATCTTCTAGGCTGTACAGTAAGAACATATCTTGATTTAAAGATTCATTCATTCATCGATTCATCCATCAATCATTTGCTGATCTCTACTAAATGACAGAAACTGGGTTGGGTGCAAGGTGGTTTTTGACTTCACAGAGCTCATGTCTAGTAGGAGAGAGAGAAATAACATTAAAGTACAATAAAGTGTTTCAGAAAGTGTATTTTCTATGAAACTCTGCAACTATTAGGATGTGATTGTTCATGGGCACAGACAGGAAATACGTGTTTAACAATGTCCTCAATAGCCCCAGCTCCAAGAAGGGGTCCCACCTATGGTGGCTGGTTGGCAGATAGTTATTGAAATTCAAAGTGCATGACTAGCATTTCTTGAGAAACTTAGGAATGAATTATAAAGGATATTATGTGTGTGTTAAGATGTTATTTTAGCCTGCTTATTAAAGACAGGAAATTTGTAAGAATGTCTGCAATTCTTGAACTAGAAAATAAAGACTGTCAATTTTTATTCTGAAGGCAACAAATTAATAAAATGTGAAAAGATATGAGACCACTTCAGATTCTAACCCTGTGAATGTTTTTTTCAATTAGTTATGCTTAATTGGTTTAGTAGTTTTGTTGAGGAAAAAAGTAATTCTGAGGTAAGTTGGTAATATAGAAAAGAGGACATTTGAATACAAAGATTTTTTTTTTTTTTGAGTATGGTAGCATATACATGAATGGCAACTGAAAGTTGGGAAGTATGTGGTTTAAGGCATCAAACCAGAGTCACTCGAGGGGAGATATGTCTAAACAGAATTAACCTCAGTGTATTACCAATGTTTTCTAAGATTTTGTTTACATATACCAAAAAAAACAGATTAAATTGGTCAAAGTATGAGTCACATAATCAGTGTATTGGGGGAGTTTTTGAAATCTGTTATTTGGCATACTGGAAAAAAAAGTATATTTCTAGCTACCCTATTAAAAGTTTTTGTTCAATTATTGTTATATTGCATAGATATAATATCAAAAAGTATCAAATTTATGAGGGAAAAGCCTGGTGAAAAAGAATCCTAGAAATTTTTTTTTTCAGAAATCTTATATGTTATCAAACATATGAAAGAGAAGCCTTTGGGAATATAATTGGAAATTGAAACTCAAAGTACATCACAAAATTCATGAGAATGAAGTGTAATTTTATCAATTTTTTTTTTATCCTGGAAGTTTGAGTCTTTCCTTTTCTAACCTGACAGACATTCACCGTTTTGACACCTCTCTGGTGTTTTCTTCTTCTTTATTGCTACAGTAACTAAAAAAGAAGAACATGAAAACTTCATCCAATTGCAGTATTAAGCTCACTTCTAAATTGTATTAATAGCCTATGCTATGAGCATAATGGAGTAATAAATTAAGAAAATGTAAAAAATAAACATAGGTTTAATATTATTAAATGCTGTGGTAATTGTTTTACAGTAAAATTGTATAATGGGATTGTATAAGTTCTTTCGACTCATGTCAATTCAACTTTACTCAAGAGCGAGAGGACAATTTATACAGTTTAGTCAGTGCACCAATTCTTTTCAGCATTCCGCTCGAAATTTTTATCCTGAGTGAGTGTGAGAATGAGGCATTTTTAGTATGCAAGTAACTTCCACCCATTTCAGTTATTATGCCCCCTCTAGTAAAAGAATTTCACTGTAATTATTGCATGTTTAGTGTCTAAATATATGTTCGTGCTTTGCATGGCACCGTCCTCTAAGTGCAAGCCATTTGTTTCACCTGGCGCTTGGTCAATGAGAGAACACACAATCTGTTCAAATGTTGATGGGACGAGAGGTCATGGTGGAATTATTACATGACTGGCTGTGAGTCAGTTCCAATAGGGTACCTTCCCAGGGAATTAGTATGCACAATTGTTTTTGTGTGCTGGCCTGAGGCAATAGCCCTGTATAAAAATAAGAAGGCTAGGACAATTCTAGACAAACGATGACCATTTGAAATGGAGTTTCATGCCAGTGAATCTGTTTCACAAACAAATGGCACTGCACTTATGCAGTGTTCTTAATATTTCAGAACTCGTTGCATCCATCAGATTCTACAACTGGTACAATTCATCCATAGCATGCACTAGTTCAGAAAGAATGACAGGCTGGGCGCGGTGGCTCACACCTGTAATCCCAGACTTTGGGAGGCTGAGGTGGGTTGATCCCCTGAGGTCAGGAGTTGGAGACTAGCCTGGCCAACATGGTGAAACCCGTCTCTACTAAAAATACAAAAATTAGCTGGACGTGGAGGCAGGCACCTGTAATCCCAGCTACTTGGGAGGCTGAGGCAGGAGGATCACTTGAACCCAGGAGGTGGAGGTTGCGGTGAGCCAAGACCTTGCCGTTGCACTCCAGCTTGGGCAACAAGAGTGAAACTTCATCTCAAAAAAAAAAAAAAAAAAAAAGGAATGACAGATGTGGGGTCTTGCCTGCTTATCAAGAGAGAAACTTGCCAGAAGAATTACGTTTATGAACCTATTAATTGCCTAACTTGTCTTGGTTGTGTTATTTGTACAACAGTGTGTTGACTGTAACTCTTTAGTTGTAAGTGCTGAGACCTTTCCACCAGTCACTAACTTCATGTGAAAAGCCTCTGCTAGGAAAGGAGGCAGTTGTCTCACAGAGTCCAAAACAAAACCCAATAGCCAAACTTCAGCAAAGGCCAAGACTGAGCTCAACCTCAGAAACAGGACCAGCACTTCTCCCCAACTCTCCTCTCTCCCTGCCCCCACAACAGTGACTTGCACTCATTCCTTCCCAGAGTGGCTTCTTGAGTGGCGGGGGCAGGGCTGCTGACAGTGCTTGAGTGTTTTTTTACCTCCTCACACTTCTTGTCTCGCCACCACTGTCACTGTGTTTGTGTTACTATCTAGTGTTACCACCAGTATTGCTGTCCTGTGTTACTAGTCTAGTGCTACTATCACTATTACCGTTCTGTTATCAGCAATATTATTTGAGTGTACTATTGCATATACTAATACTATTACAGCTCAACCCCTGGTGAGATATTGGTCTGAATCCTAAGTCTAAAAGCTTGTTGGAGAAAGACTCACTGGCCCTGCCTTGAGTCAAGGGCTCAACTCTGAGCCAAGCAACTGTGGCTCAGCACCAGGTAAATCAAGAATATGGTAGCTGCCTTGTGCATACAACTCAGATTGTGGAGCTGTGGTGTCCTGGAGATTTTTGGGTATATGGAAAGAGAGAGAGAGAGAGAGGGAGGTGATGGATAGACAGGTAGGTAGGTAGATAGATATTTGATAGATAGATAGATAAATAGAGGTAGATGATAGATAGATAATAGGTAAATAGAGATAGATAGATAATAGATAAATAGTGACATGATTGATAGATGGATGGATAGATAGATATAGATACATAGTGGAAATAGATACATAGATATCTGGATAACAGGTAAATAGAGATAAATGATAGTGATAGATAGATTAGATAAATACATAGGTAGACAGATAGATCATAGATAAATAGTAATAGATAGATGATAGCTACCTAGCTAGATAGATAATTGGTAAATAGAGATAGATATAGATAGATGATAGATAGACATAAATGATAGGTAAATAGAGATAGATGATAGATAGATATCAATAGACAGATAATAAGTAAATAGAGGTAGATGATAGATAATAGGTAAATAGGGTTAGATTAGATAGATAATAAATAGTAACAGATGATTGATAGATGAATGGATAGAGATATATAGATGATAGGTAAATGGAAATAGATACATAGAAAGATAGCTGGGTAATAGGTAAATAGAGATAGATGATTAATACATGATAGGTAATTGATAATAGGTAAACAGAGATAAATGATAGTGATAGACTAGATAGATAAATACATAGATAGGTAATAGATTAGATAGATGATAGGTAGATAGATTGATACATAGATAATAGATAGATAGATAGTGATAGATGTTAGATAGATACATAGATACATAGATAGATAGATGATAGGTAAATAAAGATAGTTGATAGAAAGTTAAATAGACAGCTAGAATCTGCACCTTAAATAGAAATAGCACAACAAAATAAAATTTAAAAAGTACCTGAGGAAATTCCTACAGAAGAGTGAGCCTGGAGAAGTACAGTGAAGAGTGAGTTTATCAGAAAACAACTGCATTAATAACATACATGTGCATTAGCTGCAAGTGGGATAAAATTTAGCTGTCAGTTTTCTGGCCGACTTTGCAAGCTGTAAATAGAAGAGGAAATTATTCTCCATTTCCTGATTATGTGCCCTGAAGAAGCTCAGCAATTCTAGCATCCAGACAAAAGAAAAGTCTCTGCCTCGGCTGCAGGGTGGAGTGTGTTAAATGTCACCAACAACGTCCTAAGAGTGGATGTGTTCATCTGGGTTGAGAGTTCGAAGGCAGAAAGCAACTCCACAAAAGCCAGTCAGCCAGTGAATCAAAGAGTTGTGGGCTAGGTTTTCTGTCCCTGCTAGTTCAGCTTTTATCAGGCATCTATTCTGAATACCTAGAGGAGAAGCAGCAGAATTGCCATCAAAGGCAGGCTGGTCATGCAAGCAGGAGGAGATGGTAGAAGAAAGCAATGAAATGTGGAGGACCCAACTCTGCCTAAACACCCAGGCCACTGTTGCTGTGCTTCTGTTTTTGTTTTAAATACTGTGCTGTCCAAGTCTTCTGAAGCCACAGTCTATCAGCTGCATTTGGATCAAAGCATTTTAGGGGATGGTCTCCAACTGGGCAAAGGGATTAGTCTTTCAGGAAAACCCCCGTATAGCCTTCTCTTCTCAAAAACATGATTCTGAGAAGCAGAGGGCAGGGATAAATTTGGGAAATGAGAGTAAAGCACTTTTCTGAAGAATGTTGCTGAAACACTTTCCTAGAACTCTTGAACTCAGGGCTTCTCATGAATCAAGGGCACACGTGTGGCCAGGTTTGTGCGCATGCACTCATGCACTCATGTATACTACATGTATGCACACTATGTCCACACACACATGCACACCACACTCGCACAATGTGCATCAAAGCCCTCGTTTGCATGCACACACGCAGGCAACTGCTTGTATAGTTTGGTCTTTGAGACGGCTATGCTACGAGCATGCTAGGGAGAGGTTTTACCTCTTTCTGATATTGCTCATTCCAAGCCTAGAGCTGCTCCTTCCAATATGGTAGCCACTGCCACGTGGGGTCATTGAGCCTTTGACACGTGGCTGATAAGAAACGAGATATGCAGTAAGTCCTTCAGGCCACAGTCTTAGTTGTGAGGTCTAAATCTGATGAATTTGCCAAAGCAACTCTGTTGAAAGTTCTGCAAATAATTTTCCTAAGAGTAGGAAAAACAACTTCCATTCTCTAGAACAATTAGCTTCCAATTAACTTAAAATACATGCTGGATCTCAAAGACTTACTATGGAAAAAAAAGCATCGAAAGTATCTCATAAATAATTGTTTATGTTGACTACCTGTTAAAATGATAATATTTATATATTATCATATATAGGGTTAAATAAAATATTAAAGTCTGTCTTTTAAATTATTTTAATGTGGTAACCAGTACATTTAAAATTTTATATCATATTGCTGAATATCATAGAAAATAGAAATATATTCCTATTAAACTTTGTTGGACTAGATTATAAGAAAAGATAGACATGTTGGCTGGAAGTTTCTTTTTTGATCCTCTTTGCATCCAAAGTAAGTTATTCCTCTGAGAGGAAAAGTCAGAGTCTATTTGTTTCTTTCTCTCTTTTATCCTCCATGGCTCTTTAGTCCCTAAGCCCTAAACTCTTGTCTTCCTACAAGTTCTGTTCTGTGCCGCTTCCAAATCACTGAATTTGGAAACTCTGCTCAGTTTTCAAATATATGAGATAAACTCATAGCGACCAGAGTGGAGATGACCAGGTCCCCAGCACTCGTATGAATCACTGGATGCTTATATGTATACAGGAATATTGACAGAGTTAGACTCATAACAGACGACCAGGTCCCCACTCTGGTATGAGTCTATCTCTGTCAATATTCATGTAGACATACGATATTTCCCAACAGATGTTTTTAGTTCCCCAGCCTGGGATGTCAGAACTCAGTGGTCTAAGTCTGGTGAGCTAATTGGCTCCATACATCCCGTTTTTCTGCTCACACATCCATTCTTTAGAAGAGACCAGATTCACTTTTTCGTAAACAGCATGTCCACCACGTTTCCCCAGATTACCAATTTCTGACAAGGAATGATTAGAAGTGAGGTTGCCAGGTAATGAAATCGGTACATTGGAAATAGTCCTCCTACAATTTTGGAGAATGATTTCCTAGAGCTTTCCACTGCTAATGGAAAATTCCAAGTTCTTGGTTTATCCTCTTGGTTTAGCCCTTGACAACTGGGTCTCTATGAAGCATTCTGGATTCCAGCTGATGCGATGTGAGCCCCTGGCTTGCTCAATCATCCTTGGGGCTGCTGAACCTGCTTCTCTTCATTTGCCGTCCCCTCAGTTTACCCAAATCCTGGCTAATCTCTAAAGACCATGTCCAATCTCTTTTCTTTCATTCAGCTTCCATCACAGCCCTGGACAACACGGCCAGCACCAGTGCTTTGTTATCATGGGCTGGCCTATGCACATCACTACTTACTCATCAACTATTTCATTATTATTTATATTATGTATTTCACATCTTCTCAATTCACTTCAAAGTTACTTACAGCCCAAAACTCCATCTCCTGTTTCTTTTCATCTTCAATGACACAAAGACCAAGCTGGGCTCAGTGTGAGTCTCAATATTCCCTTTAACAAATTGTTTTCTACAACACAGAGCAGTGCTGGTCACATGGTACCAGACCCATGGGTGCCTTATTCTCTGAGTGTGAAGGTGCCGCCTCTGGTGGAGTAACCTGTAGACCGTCAGGCATTCAATCTGCAAACACAATGTTCTGGTGGTACAGATACCGGTTGCCAGAGTGCTCTGATGAGAAGATGAAGTCTCCCCATTTAGTCTGTACCCCACAAAGTTTCTCTAAATCTATAAAAGCTTCTCTGGTTCAGAGGTCTACGCCCACCCTGAACACACGGCAATTTCCAGCAGTGCCTCAAGTGAGCCAACATCATCTTTCAGGCCACAGTTGAAGGGGGAAGCTCTACAGCTGATGGATTCATCAATAAGCAACTCTGTTGAAGGTTCTGCAAATAATTTTCCTACAAGTGGAAAAAAAAACTTCAATTTCCTAGAACAAAAAATGTTGCATAATCAGATTGAAAAGGCATTTCCGAGGGAAATTATGGGTGAAATATTTTTTGTCTAAAGAACATTATAGTTCTACTTTCTAATTTTGACATTTAACTTCTGCATCTTACTCTCTATGTCTTATTTCCTTCATTTCTCTCTTCCTTTCTTTCCCCTTTCATAATAATATTCAAATAACATAAATTATTTTTTCAACTTACAATGATTTATATTTGCAGATTGATTTTATTTTCTTCAAAATCACTCAGCAGGCAACCTGCTTATCCTAAAGACAGTCATTATTGAGAATAATTTTGGAACTTCCCTTTCTAAATTGTCTTCTACACTTCAATGACATAATTTTATATTCTTCACTAATAAATCTTTCTCAGTTAAAATTGGGTTGATAGAGAAAATACAATTCAGTTGGAAGTCCAAACTACATAAGATACCCCTAAACACAGAAGACTCACCAATAAAGTTGACAGTGTTTCCACGGACTCTTTAGAAGAAATTTACTACTTAATATTTACCAAGCCATATTTCTTTACGTTATCTACCAGATGAGATGTTTCTCGAAGATAGAAACTGGTTTTCAAAATGCTTTTGAATATTTTATGGTTCTAGAAGAGTCCTCATGGTATACCAATTATCATTTGGAAAGGAGAAAACATAGGATTAAGACAGAGAAATTGTATTTCATTCTTCTCTCATAAAAAAAATCAGAATAAGAAAGAAAAAAGAATCACCTCTTCAGAAGGATTTTGAAAATAAGCTCCTTGGGTTGGGTGAAATCAAAGAAAATTGAGAGACAAAGAACCAACCTGAGAGGAATGAATGCCGTAGACAAAAGGCAGAATGAGCAGGGCACAGAACACGATGTCAAGTCACATGTGGTCATTTTCAGAAACTTTCCAGCCTCATGTTGGCGGTCAGAAAACCTGTGAAGCCCCACAAAGCCACAGCCACCTGATGAGTAGCCAAAACCCCACTCCAGAAGGCAGCTGTCTGCCTGAGGCCCCCCAGCGTTGAACGTCCAGTGTACTAACATCACCTAGACTCCACCTGTAGAATCCCCTTTGCTCATTACAAATGGGTTTGTCATTGTTTACTTCAACAGCGTGACTTCAAGAAGTGGCACAAAATGCGGGTACCCATTTAAAAGAGGGAAAACCAGCATATCGTACACTGAGGTCTCCTGAGCCCCCCAGGCCAGGGATCATGGGCATGTGAGTCACTGGCTCCCATTCAGAGAAGTCCCCTCTGTACGTGGACACGAGGAAAGCCCTTCCCTGCAGCGTGGTTGGCCTGGTCCTGCTGCGGTCCCCACACAGGCTTGCACTGCATCTGTTTAGAGGACGTATTAGTAGCTCTGTCCTGGAGAGATTAGTTTCCAAATTCAGTGGTTTATAACGACGGGTTGCTCCACACTAAGGTTTCTGAAGGACTGTGGGTCTTCTGTGAAGCATATTATTTCTTCCACGTTAAACACCAGAACTTGCATCCTGCAGGGGTCCTCTGTGCTCCTGCCACCTCCTGCCTGTCCCTCCGGTCCCCACTCTGTTCATTATGAGTCTGTCTCTGTAATATCCATGTCTACACGCAATGTTCCCCAACAGACCTTTTCAGTCCCCCAGCCCCTCCCGAGGGCAGACACACCTGGGCTTTCTGCTCTCCTGTATGGCCCAAGACCGTCCCGGAACGGGTCACAGCAGCAGAACGCGTGCATAAACATTTCCGTTTCTATTCTGATTTCCATGTGTGTTGATACCTGTATTTATATGTTCAACATTTCTTTATATCTATGAAAATATTAATATTTATATTTCTGTATGTATGTTTGTATTTCTAGTTAGGTTTGTAGCTGGGTCCTATGTCTATGATTCACTACACGAAAGAGAATGGGCTTCATGGTTTCTTGAGAGAAGCAGTTTCAAAACACGAGACTCCCAGGAGTCCTTCTCCCCTCCAGCCCCCGTCTACTAAGAAGGCGTCTCAGGCCTGCCTCCCACTTCTGCACAGCCAGAGCCACCCGTCGAGGTCCAACTCCAAACGCTCTTCTCAAGGTCTTGTCTGTGGTGGACTTGGCACTCTTGCTGCTGTATTTTTCATATGTGCCTGTTTCTTTTCTTCAATTAAATCGTAAGCTCCACACTGTTTCAGGCTTCCCTTCCCTTTTAATGACCTCATGTCATCTAGTGGGATGTTCCATACCAGATAAGCCCAACGAAAGAGTGGAATTGAGAAATGTGACAGCGGGAAAGAAAGATAGCCATCATTTCATCCAACCCTTGTAATTTCATCAACAAGAAAATTCAGACTTGGGAATTCTGTGACCTGCCCGGGGTCATTTAGAAAGACAATAGCCCAAGGGTTATGACAAGAACCTGGTTTCTCTGGTTCCCAGAACGGTGGCTATTTTTATTACATAGATTCCTTCTTTAAGTGTACACATCCATTTCATAAAATGAGTATTGGTAGCAGCTCACCCTATTTGTCTTCCAAATGGTTTCAAACAAAGGATGGAGGACAAAGTCACATTATGACATATGTGGTGAGATGTTCATCTTCCTGGAGGGAGAAATAAAATAAAGAATGTGGCACTCATTTTTATTAGAATCCAACAGCTTGTGTGAATGTATTTTCTTTCCTTGTAAGATCTCTGGGCTAAAGATCATTCCAACACCCCCCTCTGCAGAATGTCACTGAAGCGAAACCGTCCACACAGAGCAGCGAGGCCAGGACAGCAACCGGCAGCCCACGGACTTCACTGGCACGAAGCAGAGAGCACGCTGTGGGCGAGGAAGGAGCTGGTGAGACCCGCAGACAGGAAGAGCTCCCTGGAGTCCCGGCCGGGCCAGCAAGGCCAAGGCCACTGTCCACTGTGATGCAGCGTCGGCGTCTGCTTCTCCACTGGAAGAAGCAAGTTTGCAGTCAGAGCGTAAGGTGCAACTGCACACTCCGTGGCCACCTCCGTTTCCGTATTCTTTTTTCTTTTGATTTTATTTTTTATTTTTGAGATGGAGTCTCGCTCTGTCACCCAGGCTGGAGTGCAATGGTGTGATCTCAACTCACTGCAAGCTCTGCCTTTCAGATTCAAGAGATTCTCCCGCCTCAGCCTCCTGAGTGGCTGGGATTACAGGCACAAACATACCCAGCTAATTTTTTGTATTTTTAGTAGAGGCGGGGTTTCACCATGTTGGCCAGGCTGGTCTCGAACTCCTGACCTCAGGTGATCCACCCCACTCGGCCTCCCAAAGTGCTGGGATTACAGGCATGAGCTACCGCGCCCGGGATCATTTCTTATCCTAATGTAGAAATAGGTGTTGGGCTCCACAACGCCATGGGAGCGTTTCTCCTGAGACGTGAGCTAACATGTGTGAGGAGTCAGGCTGCAGTGACTTGTGCTCCTCCTAATAACCTCACCTGGACCCATTCGTCAGGACTACACAAAGGGAAAATTACTTGAGTTAATACAAATGAGAACATTTCTTAAGGAATTGAGCTCTTCAAAATCCCAGATCACCACAATTATTTATGTTATGGCCGATTGGCCACCTATTGGGATACTGTGAATGGAGAAAAAGAACACAGGATTTCCAGAGACATTGGTAACGCTGTCATCCTCAGACTGAGACTTCACAGGGCTGGCTATGAACTCCTTAAAAAAAAAATAGCCCCTATCACACTTCAGAATATAAAAATGCCTTCTGGAGAGTCTAAGATAGGCTCACCGTTTATCATTGCAAATGATGATCTAGCAAAGTTCCAGGTTTGGTGCCAAAAAATTATAGATACTAAAATAGCGACCCGAATGCCTCTGTGCAGCTCCCTGCATATTTTCTGTTCACGTCATTTTTATAAGGAACAGTGACATTCCTTTTAATTGCCTCTGAATTTATTTATTCAGTCTATGTCAAATCTAGCAAAGCCATATTTTTTTCTCGATTTTTGAAAACACGCATGAGCACCTTGTCACATGTACCCCTTTTTTTCTTAGGGAAAAGAAATCAAAGAAAGAAAGCAATGATATAGAAACTGGCATTTATTTAAAATCACTCTGTGGAACACCTTAATTAGAACCCGCACAGTTCTCTATGCAGCATCTTACGTTTCTGAGTTTATGACAACTGTAAAAATCATTTATAGCAACATGAAAATCAACTTCTGAGTTGTCTTAGATAAATCTGACAGATTGGAAGGCCTCTTTGGAAACCATAATGAGAACTTCAGAAAGATGAGGACTTGAAACGTCTTCTGCTTGTCTTGCTGGCGATCCGTGCTGCAGATGTAATTAGAGTGCATCATCCTTGAGGGTTACTAGTATTATGACTTATTAATCTGTGACTCTTCTAAACATATTATTTCTCTTCCCAGCCCTATAGTCCTCGAAAATCGCTGATGCCTGTTGCTTTGAGCAGAAATGTCTCTTCTTTTTTTACGCAGTTCTCCATGGGGTGCACAAATTTCTGCCATACAAATGCACACCTTTGTGTCCATTTGATGAAAATCAAGATCATGACACTGAAATTCTGTATGTTTTGAATAAGGAAAGCACAGTTTAAAAAAAAATCTGGGATGCACAGATTTCTGCCATACAAATGCACACCTTTGTGTCCGTTTGATGAAAATCAAGATCATGACATTGAAATTCTGTACGTTTTGAATAAGGAAAGCACAATTTAAAAAAAAAAAAAATCAGAGGTCAGGTGTGGTGGCTCCTGCCTGTAATCCCAGCACATTGGGACGTTGAGGCAGGAGAATCACTTGAGCCCAGGAGTTTGAGGCCAGCCAGGGCAACATAGCAAGACCCTGTCTCTGAAATAATATAATTAAAATTTTTTAAATTGGAAGAAATAAGAAAATTGGATAAATTCTGCCCTTCTTTGCAAGTCTTGGGAAAGATATGCTCGCATTCTCTCTAATGAATAGGATTTTAAAGAAGAAAGTCCTATGCATGATTACTTTAGAGTTGCTTTTACTTCTGATGTTAAAGGATCATGTTGTCTATTTTGGAAGAGCAGGAGGTTTAACCTCTGATGTAAAATCTTGGCTAAAAATTCTCATAGGGGCCAGCGAAAAGGGGCAGAGAGTGCAAAGGGAGAGATGGCTGGGTGAGGACCATAGAGGGGATGAATTAAACGTAACGTGTGATTTGTCCTTGTACATAGGTAGGTTATGCGTTTTTATACCTATAAAAGGTGTCTCATGTAACACATTCTGTATTACAATGATAGTGGAACCCTGAATCTCAGGTGGGATTTTATTCAAGGTTGTGCTGGTCGCTCATGGCCGAGTCTCTACGGTGGGCTCCACCTGCATTGGTGCAGGACTCTCTGGGTCACCCCAGGGTTGTGGGCAGATTGGAGAGTGCAGGACTCATGGCTGCCCCTCCTGCTGTGGCCAGACGTGGACGCAGGCTCTCGGACAGGGTTCTCATCTTCCACACCCCACCCTTATCTCGAGAACCCATTTTCCCACCTTTTCCCTGCATTCCCCTGTGACTTTTTCATGCTGCATATTCTGTGTTCATATGACTTTCCTCTCTTTTCCTCTCATAGCACACTGAAGGCATGAGATTATGGTATTTCACATGAATTTTAATGAGTAAAGTATCACAAGAATTAGAAGTATTGCAGCTACCGAGAATACAGAGTGGCCTGTCTCTACATTTCAAACAGCATCCATTGCCATAGAAACGGAACTCTTTGGAGCTAAAATACATAGAAAGGTGATTACTTAACCGTACATCAGAGAGCATGTACCAGATAAGGAGGGCGGGCCAGACACCTCCGAGAGGATTCTGAGCCTGGAGTTAGAGCAAAGGAAATCATCCGTGTCTCCGGTTCATGTACCATTTCTTCTTCTTTCCTTCCCTCCACTCCATTGTCAGTTTGCCTACCCATTGCAGGCAATCTGGCCCTTTGCTGGCTCTATTTTGGCTAATGTTATCTAACAATGAATGTTACTAAAAGAAGGTCTTGCTTGCATTTTGAAGGCATATTAAAAATATTTTCTTACTATTTTTTATCATTGCAAAAGCGTTAAGGGTTCACTGTAGGAAATTTAGAAACCTCTATTCCCACTACCCAGAGTGAATCTCTTAAGATGCTGGTCTTTATCCTCCCTGCACGTATGAGTAGAGGAGACAACCAATGCAGTGGCAGGGAGATGGGCGTGTCCACCCCCTTTCTGTGCAGCCCTGGGAGGCTTGCTTCCGCTCTCTGCATTCCATTCTCTCACTTGCAAGATGGGGATAATATCAGCACATAATCCATGGGATCCTCGCGAGAACTACATGACTTAATTCATAGAAAGGACTTGGAAGATGCCTTGACACAGTCATTGCTTCGTGCATATTAGAGTTTATTATTATAATAACATATTGCCTTGTACTTTATTTGGTTTTAACTTAATGTTCATTTAATATATTTTAATATTTTGATAACTTTGTTGTAGTTATAGAATATCCACTATATATAGAATATATATGCAATCATGAGAGACAATCCTTATAAGAACATAGCTGCCCTCCAACACAAGAGGATGGTGTCAGTGGAGCAGAAGTAGAGAGGCGGACAATGCAGCTAAGGGCTCATGGTCACCTGGAACCAATCAGGGCAGTCGGGCTCAGGAATGCAACTCTTTTGCACAATGCACAGGTCTGGAAAGGAGCTGGAATTGAATTTCTGAGGTACAGCTGCTGGTTGAGACCTTCATCCTTGCCAACATCAGAAGAGAACTGTCCCTGCCTAGTTTTCTGAGGTTGTAGCCAAAAAAACCACGAGCTTTTGGAGAAAGGAGAAAGCAGCTGCATTTATCAATGGGCATGCATACTGGAAACCAGGAGCCTCCAGCTGCTGCCAGAACTGAGTTAGGGCCATATTCCCAAGGAGGTTGGAAAAAATCACGACCCTCTGAGAAGAAGGCTCACTAATATGAGAGAAAATATTCATCCAAAGTGGTACCCACCAAGGGGGCAATGCAGACAGGCCATTTCATAGCCATGAGCAGGGACCCGTGCATTAATAGGAACATCAAAACCACAGGAAAGAGACAACCGAGAAACTTGAAAAAGATGTTCAAGCAAGTATGGACGAACTATTCAAGTGACACAGGGCATCCATTAAACAACTGTAAGAAGAAGCAACAATGAAAAAGAATCCACTGAAAGTGTTGTAAATTAAAAATAAAACAATTTTGGTTTTAAAAAGTCAATAGGCATGGCTGGGTGTAGTGGCTCATGCCTGTAATCCCAGCACTTTGGGAGGCTGAGGCGGGTGGATCACCTGAGGTCAGGAGTTCGAGACCAGCCTGGCCAGCATGGTGAAACCCCGTCTCTACTAAAACTACAAAAATTAGCCGGGCATGAGAGCGGGTCCCTGTAGACCCAGTTACTGGGGAGGTTGAGGCAGGAGAATCGCTTAAACCCGGGAGGTAGAGGTTGCAGTGAGCCGAGATCACACCACTGAACTCCAGCCTGGGCAACAAGAGTGAAACTCTGTTTAAAAAAAAAAAAAAAAAGTTAATAGGTGTGAAGAATAGTCCACTGGACACAACTGAGGATGTAAGAGAGAGCCCGGGCCAGAGAAATGAGCAGACAGAAGATGCGCAGCGGTGTCAAAGGATGCTCAAGATAGGTCGAGAAACTCTCCAATGAAGAAAACCGAATAAATTGGGAGGGGATGATATTATACTTAAATTGATAATAAGTCAAAATTTGGGGTATTAGAGAAACTAATATGTGGCTTAAAACAACACAAACTTACTGTCTTACAGTTCTGGAGGCCAGAGGTCCTACAAGGGTCTCACTGAGCTAAAATCAAGGTGTCCATTCAAATACAAAGGAGACCAAGTTGTTAAAAAACCAAAAGAAAAGCATGTGAAGCAGAAATGATCAATTCACATAGTAGAATGAATAGCACAAGAAAAGTAAGCTCACTTGTTGAAAGGCAACATCTGTCTGGGAGGCAACATGAAGATTCCCAAAAATATCCACTTTCTAATCCCTGGAACCTCCAGATGGGATTAAATTAAGAACCTTCAGATGGGAGGTTATCCTTCATTATCCCCGTCAGCCCAAGGTAATCATGAGCCCTAAAAATCAGGGAACCTTTCCCCGCTGTAAAAATCAAGGAGCTTTTCCCAACGGTGTCCAGGAAAAGATGTGATGACGGAAGAAGGGTCAGAGAGCTGCAACTCTGCTGGCTTTAGGATGGAGGGAGAAGCCATGGTGCAAGGGATTGAGGCGGCCTCTGGAAGCTTGGAGAAGCCCGGAAACAGCCCCCACTGGAGATCCCAGAAGGGAGGACAGTCCTGTGGACACCTTGAATTTAGCTCAGTGAGGGTCCTGTTGGACCTCTGGCCTCCAAAACCGTAAGATAACACGTTCACGTTGTTTAAAGCCAAATAATAGTGGTAATTTGTTACAGCAGTAAGAGAGAATGAACGGAGCCTGCTGGTTTTTATTTATTTGAAGTATTCATGCTCAGTTCTAAAAGCATAGAAAACTGAGAGAAGTACGCATGCACACACACAGAAGACACACGCACGTCTATAATCCCACTCCACAGAACCCCACTCTGCTCATTTCCATGTGCATATTTACTTTATAGGACCAAACTTATTTTATTCACTCCGTTTTCAAGCTTTCTTTTAGTAAGCAAAAATATTTTCCCACATCAATAGACATTGCTCTTAGAACTATTTTAATGGTTGCATAATTTACCAATGCATGGATGCAAGGCAATGATTTAACAATACCCTGATTATTGGGCACACATGTTGCATTCACAGTTAGTGTTCTTGTAAGCAATGTCAGGATGATTTCTTGAATGTGTATCTTTGCCTGCTTTGTATCACGGTTTTCTTAAAATGAAATAGAAATTCTGGTCCAAAGGGTACGAACCTTTAATACTTAAAAATATAATACTTCATTGCGTTATTACCATGCAGAAATATTCTAGCAGTTCCCACTGATTTTAGTTATATATTTGGGGGTGAGGGTGGGAGGAAGGAAGAAAAGGAGAGACAGACAGGCAGAGAGACCATTGTGGCATTTCTGTGGCTTCCATCTCTCTCCTGACTCATGGTCCTGATAGCAGGCATGGCTTTAGGCAGGCGTCCCCAGGTCCGAGAAGGAGAGCCCCCATCCTAGCCAGCCTGCGGAACTCGGGACAGGAGAATCATCTTCCCTGCTAAGCTTGCCCCTGGCCCCAGTCTGGACCAGTAAGGAAGATATTCAGATCCACACAGAAAAAATAAGCAAAAGGAAGCAAGTAAATAGGTGCCTAATTAAAGAAGTCGTTTGAAAATTCAAATAATGTCTTACCATTTGTCATAAGAATGAAATCACCTGAGCATTGCAGCCAGGTGAATCTGTGTTCATAAAGAGATATTTTATATATATTTATTTCTCTAAGCTCCACTCTCAGTTTTCTCATCCATGAAACGCAGGTGAAAATATTTCTAGAGATTTTGTAATGGTAAATATTTGTGTCTGCAAGGAATTTACCACAGGGCTTGACGCAGGGTGTGCAATCGGTAAATTCTGGCTGCTATTATTACACACAATTGTGTTACTTGCCCCCTCCTTTTAGTTGTTTTAAAGCAGGAACCACAGCATGGGTATACTGAACCCTTTGGGGAGTGAGGCTATTCCTCCAACCTCTGGAGTCCTGAGGAGGTTCGATCTGAGGGCTGCAGAGGTAGCAGCTGTGAAATTCATCATCACTTTGCTTGCACGCTGACATTGCTTCTTGAATTGCAAGTCACTGCGATTTGCAATTCTTTGCCCCCCCTCATCCCCTGGAAATCTTAGCAAACCAAAGATTGGTATGTCATCACCGTTTTAGAGAACTACAGAGTCATCCCCCAAGATCTTCTGATAGGTACAGCCTTCGGTCTAGGGTACCTGTACCGGAAAAGCAATTATTGTGTAGTGGACCTTGCTCTCTGTGATCTGGGCATTCAGCTACTTCCACCTTCCCATCTAAATAGCTATCGTCCTATTAGCAATAATAACTCTCTCTGCAAATGCTAAAGGGCTCTGTGAGTCAGCTGGGCATCTCAATGGATGGTTTGGGGAACTCTCCAGGACACACAGGGGGTCCAGCTAAGGAGATGGGTTAATGAGTGGCAAAGTTAAATCCAGCATTGGCGTCTTCACAACACCTGATTTATTCATACATGACGCTCCGGACAGACCATAACTCCTTTCCGTCTCTTTAGCAGACAGGTGTGTTGCAGTAGAACACAGGTTGTGTGTACAGCAGCCTAGAAGCACACAGGCAGAAGCTCCTTGAGAACAGTCTCTCCCTCTTAGGGGCATTGCATCTCTTGACGGCCTTTCAGAGAGATTATCCTGCCATGCGCGTTTCCATGTTGTTCCCATTTCAGAGGTGAGAAGACGAGGGCCAGATGGGTGCAGCTACCTGGCTGAGGCACTCATTTGAGAATTGGGATGGAGTGTGATTTGAGTGGGACGTGAGCTGAAGCCTCGTCTACTTCTCATCCGTCCATTAAAAGAGGCTTAGGATTTCTAACACATCCTAAAGCAGAAAACGGCCTTTTAAAAAGTAATCATCTAAATCTGGTACCCACAGTACATAAAGGCTTCTCTATATTGAGATTAATTCTTATGCAGAATAAGACCAATGGTCATCATGTTGCTAAGACCTGGAGTCCACTGTTGGGTGTTTTGATGCACAGAAAAGTAGTGTAAACTATTCACTAAGTGTTCTAACATGTCTCAAAGCAGCATTTGCCCCAGAGAGTTTTGCAGAACTCATTATTTATTATATTATTTCTGTATTGACACAATTCTGAATTTCAAATCAGACAGCCCATAAAATATTTCCTCTGGTAAAATACTAGATGTGGAAGAGGTTTCCTGTGCAGTATTAGCTGTGTGCACATGTGTGCCTGTATGTGTGTGCACACGTGTGCGCCTGTATGTGTGTGCATGTATTTGCACGTGTGTGCCTGTATGTGTGTGCCTGTGTGTGCTGTGTGTGAGGGGGCATGGATGTGTACATAGGTGTGTGCATGCATGCACAAGTATGCGCCCATATGTGTGCGTCTGTATGGGTGTGCATGTGTATACCTATGTGTGAAAGAGCATGAATGTGTGTGTATATGTGCACATGCATGTGCCTGTATGTATACAGGTGTGTGTTTATATACGTTTGCATGTAAGTGTCTGTGGAGAGTTCCTTGGACTTATGGGGCAAACTGAAGTTTTCCTAGAATAAAAAAATTTGGATGGTTCCAGCTGCAGGAGGCATGCAGGTAAGTGAGAGGGTCTGTGAGGTCCCCAGCAGCACAAGAAGGGACTGAAGACTTGAAGACTCCGGGTTTCCAAGCACCACAGGCAGGGAGCAGAGTTCAGATGCTGTGAGAAAGGGCAATGCCTGCTTCTAAACCAGGGATTCTTAGAGACGGGGTGGGAAGTCCAGGACAGGCACTTGCAGCACAATTCTGATTTGCTGTGAGTAAAACGAATGTCAAACCCAGATATCGGCATATGAAGATTAATCATTTTATGAGTTTTTTTACCCCCAGAAAAAAGTTGGTTAAAAAATATCTGAAAATTTTACTCCAGCCCTTAGTGTCAAATTCTAAAAAATCTTTTAAAAATAAGAGTAAAAAATTAAAAAGGAAAAAAATCTGAAAATTGGCCTTCCAAAGAGGTTTTGAAGATATTTTACAGAATAATTGTAAACAGCTATTACAGTTTCAACTAAGATGTATTAACTTTAGTGCAGATTTCACTACATGGAACTTTCCCTGATGTTTTTACAAAGCAATATTTTGTTCCCCTAGTAAAATGATGAGAGCAAAAATAGTTGAAATTTAGATTTTATTTCCTTTCTTTAATCCTGAAAGAAATTAAATCCTGAAAAATCTTAAATGTAATAAAGAGATTTCTATAATTTTTTTCCACCAAAGTATTTTATGAGAAATGTATCTTTGCCAATTGGTAAAATAAAATAAAAGTACAATATTGAGACAAATTGGCATTTATTTTATTGATGTTGGGTTGTGTTTCTAAATGAGGGATAGGCTATATAAAAATTTAGGGTTCTTTAGAAACACAGATGTCCCTGGTCGAGAAAGAAGTAAAAACTAAATTGAGAAAAATAGTCCCAATTTTACGAGAATTAAAGGAACATATACAAATATTTCTCAGTAAAGTCAATACTACTTTTGTCTCTAGGGAGAATAATTAACTATGGCCCCATTCTCCACAGGCTCAAAAGAACACAAAATTGACAAATTCTCTGCTATCAATGACACCCTACTAGTTCAAAGGTTAGCAATTTAGTCAGTGAGTCACTGATTTCATTTAACATGGTAGCAATTAAATAACTTGGTAATTTAGAATGTGTGATGTTATTTATTTTTAAGTAACATTTTTATTGTAAAATAAATAATGCTTTGAACCTTGTAATCGCTCTTCAGGTGCATTGCTGACATTTCTTTAGAAGAAGTTTCTAGAAGTGTTCTAGACAATCCATATGAACACTTGAGGAGTTTTACATACGTTTCTAAATTTGCAAACAGAATCATAGAAAGTATAAGCATATTGCAAGTGCTTAATAAAGGTTTGATGAACCAGTGAATGAATATGAAAGCGAGTTTCTGAACTTATTTAAAATGGCGTTGATTTACATAATTTAGATTTACAAAATTGGAATTTACACACAATGGCCTGGACTTGCCGGTTGCTGAAAATTGAGCAACTCTTTTCCTGCCTTTCAAGTCTTGACTCAACCACGGAACCGAGGACCCAAATGAGGCCCAGGGCTCTGTCCCAGCTTCCAGGTTAACTCAGGCACCGCCACATACCTCACCTCCTGCCAGTGCTCAAGTCATTTGCCTTCTCTGAGTCTATCCGGAAGACAGACTTCTATACCCATCTCACTGAGTGATACTTAAACGTGAAATCTTTAACCTTCTAATTAAAGGCAGTATAAGTACAAAGATTAAGATAGAATTCCAAATGTACATTCACTTCCTCGAATAGCCACAATCTAAACAATCGTCTCTGAAACACAGCATTTGGACCACTGGTTTTCAGCTTCTGCATTCTGCCTTCTCATGACCGTAGAAGGAAACAAGGAGAAACCATGAGACAGTGTAATATGAACACGTCAGTTGTGGCTCTAATTTTCACTTCCCTGGAATGGCCGAGGGCCCCTCTCTGCAGAACCTGGGCTTGGGAACCAGGAGATTCGCACGGCTCCCAGGATTCCGCACATCTGGAGCCTATCTTTATGGCTGTTGGAGGCCTTTCAAGGCTTGATTTCAATGGTGGGGAAAAGATTAAAACCCTTCAAGCTCAGAGATGTTTCAAATACGATGAACTCTTTTCTTCCCTGTTGATTTTATATGTTTTTTATGCCTGGTACAAAATAAAAATAATTTCAGAAACTCTCTCAGGACTATTCAGGATATAATATTATTATTAGATACGTCTGTTTCCCCCACACCCTGCTGCCTATTTTTTCTTTGTTAGCCTTACTGCAGAATTTTCATTTTCATGGAGGAGGGAAGGGAGAGAAGAGGGGTTTTTTGGACTATTAGATGAAGTTTGGTGATCAGGACCTAAAGATACAGTTGTAATGGTTCCTGTAGGCTTCCCTGGAAGTCCCTTCCTGTGGACATCCTAGAATGTTGTTAAGGAGCTTATGGTTGGGTTTATTACAACAGTGAGTAAGAATACAGGAATTGAAGTCAATGACTCCTAGATTTAAATCCTGGCTCCACAACATGCTAGTTGTATAACCATGGGTAACTTATTTATTCTTGCTAATCCCGTTTCCTCCTCTAGAAACTGAGAATATAATTCCTATTTTACAGAGCTCTTAAATAGCTAGTGTATGTATAACACGTAGCACCACCATATCTACAGAACTCATTCAATAAGTAGCAACTGTTAGTGCTATTATGACATGATTAATGATTTTGGATTATTTTTACTTAATATTTTTATTTAACGGTGTTTATGTAGCATTTTAATGTACTTTTCTCATTTAGTCCATGCAATCCCTGTGAGAAAGGCAAGTCTGATGTGATTATCCCATGTTAAAGTGTCAGTAGTTGAAACTTAAAGGGTTAACATCAAAATAATTAACTTAAAATGAGCTTCCTTAATGAAAACAAAAAAGTAAAATAATCTGTTAGAAAAATGGGGATAAGGTCAAGAAAACAATTAACAAAAGAAGCACAAGCCACTGATAAAGATATGATAAAAAGCCAATCCGGATTAATCATCAAAAATTACATTAAATTAATAGAGCAGTGCTCTATTAAATTATTTTAAAAGGAAAGACTTAAAAGGAGATTATAGTGCTGTATTAAGGATTTTCCAGGGTAATTGGCAATATGAATAAATAGTATTAAACATGGTTATGTCTTTCACACTAATGTAATGATTCTAGGTGTACCTTCAGAAGAAATTAACATAGAGTGAACAAATTTTATTTATGAGGATGTTTTCTACAGAATTTATATAAATAAATGCTAAGAAAGAAAAATTTCTTCGTTACCCCAAATGACAATGATTTAATAATTTGGGGCATGTCGACTGTTTGAGATTCTATCTTACTACTAAAATGTATTAAAATTGTGTTTTCAGAGAATACTTAATGACATGGAAATATAGTTTTCATATTAAGTAAAACATATGGCAAGATAATAACAACATTACAGAAGTAAGTCCCAACTTTATTTAAATATACACGTATGCACACATGCACATAAACTTTGATGAATGAAGAAAAACACACCAAAATATTAACAGTATTGATCTTTTTATTTTCCTTATATCCATTAATAATTTCAAGTTAATAACAATGCACATGTGTTCATTTTTGTGGTCAGAGAACAAATCGTGAGAGAAGACAGAAGGAAAAGGGCTAAATAACCCATGAAGGCTCACACCACTCATTGCTGACAGACCCAGGACAAGCAGTCACATTTTCTGATCTGTAGGGTCCTTCTCTGTATCTGTGTGCTAACATCAGCATTGACCCAACCTTTAAACATACCTGTCTATGTATCACAATTGGGCAGAGATGCAGGTAACCTCAGTGAGGAGGTGGCTTGTTTTTCTTTCTTTCTTTTTTCTTTCTTTCTTTCTTTCTTTCTTTCTTTCTTTCTTTCTTTCTTTCTTTCTTTCTCTCTCTCTCTCTTTCTTTCTCTTTCTTTCTTTCTTTCTTTCTCTTTCTTTCTTTCTTTCCTTCTTTCCTTCTTTCTTTTTCTTTTTTTTTTCCTTTTTTTTTTTTTTTTTTTTTGACGGAGTCTGGCTCTGTTGCCCAGGCTGGAGTGCAGTGGCGCTATTTCGACTCACTGCAACCTCTGCCTCCTGGGTTCAAGCGATTCTCCAACTTCAGCCTCCCGAGTAGCTGGGATTACAGGCGCCTGCCACCACAGCCAGCTAATTTTTGTATTTTTGGTAGAGACGGGGTTTCTCCATGTTGGCCAGGCTGGTCTCGAACTCCTGACCTCAGGTGATCCACCTGCCTCGACCTCCCAAAGTGTTGGGATTACAGGCGTGAGCCGCTGCGCCCGGCCAGGAAGTGAGTTGTTTTTCTACTTTCAGTTTAAACTTCTTCCAATAAGATATGTTCAAGGTTACCTATTACTGAACTGATGATTTTAAAAACGTCTTAAGCAAAAGTTTAGCCTGAAGAAACACACTCCAGAAAGTCTTTTGCTTTCTGGAAACCTTATTACTGTGACTGTAAAACGCGATTGCCCTGTGTAGTCACCTAAAAATTGTGCTTCACAAAGCCTTTAGAAAGAATCATGGAACACCCTGTCCAGGTGAGGGGAGGAGCAGAAGGGGGTGGCGCTCTCTTCCCCTCGTCCCACCTTTTCATTAAAGCCACCTTGCTTTTATCTGTTTTTGAAAATTGAATTCACTTGAAGGGATTTTTCTAGAGGCAAAAACAAAGTTAAGAATAATCAGATCAACTAATACTAGAGATAGCTTTCAGTTCTGGAATTCTATTTCATGCCCAGTTTCAAGTATAACTGCTGAGTAAATTCGTGGAGTGCAAACTTCTGCCAGTCTTCTGAGCTTGTGTCTAGGTATTCAAGTAAGTTTCTGGCATTCCCCTCCTGGGTTATAGCTGCAAGCTTGCTGTGCTGTGTAACAACTGATAGTTATGGAGAAACCCTTTTGTTTTTAAACCACGATTTATCAGAATTTATGTAGTGATGACAACTTAGGGAGTAGGGGACGGAGTGGATGAGAATGCATTTAGTGCTGAATAGGTTTTTATTTGCTTGTTTGTTTCTTTAGTTTTTTTAAGTTCTATTTATGCTCTTGGCTGAGTGGACCTGGACAGCGCAGGAATTCACTAGAAAAGCGGAGGAAGTTGGGAGGGCGAGGCGGGCGGATCGGATCATGAGGTCAGGAGATGGAGACCATCCCGGCTCACACGGTGAAACCTCGTCTCTCCTAAAAACACAAAACATTGTCTGGGTGTGGTTGTGCGCGCCTGTAGTCCCAGCTACTCGGGAGGCTGAGGCAGGAGAATTGTTGGAACCCGGGAGGGCAGAGCCGAGATCGCGCCACTGCACTTCAGCCTGGGCGACAGAGTGAGACTCTGTCTCAAAAAAAAAAAAAAAAAAAAAGAAAGAAAAGAAAAGTGGAGGAAAACTGCCAGTCGCCTGACTAGTTTGCCTTTTCGAAGAGAGAAGGGGAATTAGCATATGCTATTTAGTCTTTTTACAACACTTCTGTTGACTCAACCTGATATTCTTCTGTAAAATCCATCTGGAATGTTTACAGAAGGAACATGCTCTTTATGGAGTTATTAATGAAAAGGCAGATTGACGCCATTCTAGTAATAGGATTTATTACCAAGGGTGGTAGTATTTTTTGCACAGGGCTTTGCTGCCTGCAGGTTAAATATTCACAGGCATATTTGCTGATTGTATGACAATAGTCTATAATTCTTTCCCATTACACAGTTTAAGCATCTTTCTCTCACACCAATGTTTCAGAAGCAGCAAAGGATGCTGGCTACCAACTTTAGTCAGCCGTCGGAGGTTAACCTAATGAAAACTGGCTTTTAGGTCATGCGTAATTAAATCGTCATATTTAAAATTCAAAAAGACTTGTATTTTCTATGGGAAAATGATATTATTTTAGTGATAAAATGGAAAATTCCAAATTCTGAAGCTGAACGACACATAACATCCATAGACATGCCCTTGAAATAAACAAGTGTGGGGGGGTTAATTTTGTTTGTTTGTTTGTTTGTTTTGTTTTGTTTTGAGACAGAGTTTCACTCTTGTCGCCCGGGCTGGAGTGCAACGGCGCATTCTTGGCTCACTGCAACCTCCATCAAAATTTCATGTCTGATGAATTCAAAGGAAATTCAACCTTTTTTCACAGAAAGGATAATGTTGAATTTTTTTTTGTCAACACTCTCAATAGATCACTGCACTATCATAATTCAGGCTAAAAGAGTATAGCAAGAATGGCAGGAATCCATCGGGACTAACAATGTCGCCTGAACAAAAACATATTACATTTCATCACCTCCTGTGGAGCCAAATGCGATAAGAGAGAGAAAGAGAGCCATTACCTGGTAGAATCGACCAGGTAATTTTATCTGAAGTAAATACAACATGTATTTCTCACTCACAGACACACATAGAACATGAACCTAAGACCCCAGGTGGCTGCAACCTCTGGGGCACGTGCGATGGCGTAACATAGAAATAACGTGCCCAGCGGGCAAGATGTTCCCAGCAGCACTCTGCCTGGAAGATGATCTCTTCCTGCCCAAAGCTAAGACAGGCTCCATAAACCTTCCTTTCTTGGGATACTTGAAACTATACTCAACTAATGATGGCAAAAAAGAAGCCACTTTATGGTGCCCGTGATGAGGAAGTAACAATTTCTACGTTCGAGGAGTTTACAAGACAACTAGGAATAGAACTAGAACATAGAAGAAGAGCATCCTCACATTGTTCATGGATTCATGGCGTAATAAGCACTGCGTGCAGCAGCAGTCGGATCAGAAAACTTTGCAGAAGGCAGAATTCAGAAATTCAAATGCCTGGGTGATCAGGAGGTAAATAAAAAATACAGTCACAGCTGGGTGTTGTCCTAGTAAAAATGGGAGCCAGCCTGGGACTCCAGACCTCCAGAGAGACCAGAGCTGCTATGACGATCTTGTCAACTGTTGTTCTGTGGAAATGCTAATCTAGATTCTGTGTTTTTTTAAGAGAAAAAAATTCTTCATGTCATGTAGAATATCCTACTATTTAAATGTTAACAAATAATTCACATTTTTAAGTTAAAGAATTGTGTAGGACAAAATAACACGTGTCTTCAAGCAAATGTAGCCTGAGATGCTCTTGACCCTCAATTTCTGGTCCCTGACTTTGTCTGAAACGTGAAGACCTAAGGACAGAAAAGCAATGAGAATGTCTTAGTCCATTTGTGCTCCAGTAACAGAAGATCTGAGACTGAACAGTTTATAAAGAATAGAAATTCATTTCTCACAGTTCTGGCGGCTGGGAAGTCCAAGATCAAGGTCCTGGCATTTGGTGCCTTCTGAGGGCTCTGTCGTCCACAGGGTAAAAATTCTATGGCCTCTCATGGAAAAGGTGGAAGGTAAAAGGGGGAGAATTCTGTGGGTCAAGCCCTTTTATAAGTAGGCTAATCCTGGGGCCTTCAGGACTCTACATCTCTCAAAGGCCACCTCTCCCATAGGGTTGCATGGGGATTATGTTTTAACATGAATTTTAGAAGGGACACAAATATTCACAGCATATCAGAGAAGTCTCTGCAATGGCCATAAAGACCACGAAATGAGGAGGAATAATTCTGGAAAAAATGGCACAGAAAAGAACCAAAGGAAGACACAGAAATAGAATGAGGAAGGAGGAGGAACCAATGGAATTAAGATATAAGCATTTTCTGCAGCCATGCCTGAGCCTGAATCCCACCGGCATGGCAGCGTGAACCGTGGAGTTACTATTAGGCTTGCACAGCATAGCATTTAATTGTTAAATATGTGTAAATGCATGATAATTGTAAACAAGTTATGGTCCATCACGTAACTTGAGATTAGTAAATTCAAACAAATCCTTTCTGTTAATCTCATGAAACCACAAATTAACAGCAAAAGCAGCTTCTGATATTTTTAAAGAGAGGAATATGATCTAGGTAGGAAGCCAATGAGCAATTGTAACCAAGATTTGCTGTCTGGAGGGGCTGATCAGATAAAACCACCCCTCGTGGGATTCTGAGTAAGCAAGTAAGGCAGGATCTGTTTGGTCATCCCAAACGCTTCATGTTCAAGGCAGACATTGCAAAATTTAGGAACAATGGGGAAAGGTCCATGGCTTTTCATATCCAAAGTCATTTTTCATGAATCACTGCTATATGATCTTCAAGACAATCCCACATGCTTAAGGAAAGGTTATCTTTTGAAAAGAACATTCATATTTATACCTATTTTAATGAAGACATAGGAAGCTTTTATTTTAAACACACTATGAAGGTAGGCAATATGGGGATATAAAAATGCAAGTCTTTGGGAGTCTTAGAAAAACAGAAGGCTCAAATCTTGTTCTCAAGAAGTTTGCAATCTAAGATGATAATTAAAACCAAGATTAAAGCTAAACCCCAGGGCAGCAGGTCTGCATCGTCTTGTTGAGACTGTGCACCTGAGAGGGATGAAGATGGATTTTGCTGATGGACAGGTGGGACTTGAAGCTATGGTGCTGTGGCTAAGAGGAAACACAGTGGCAGGTATGGACAAAGGGGTGATGGATTGGCATTGAGAGAGAAAAAGGCGAACAGTAGAGACAAGCGTACAAACACTTTCAAGAAGGGCAGCAGAAGACAACACGATGGTTCGAAGGGAGTGGGATCAATGGGGGATTGTGTTTTAAAGGGACACTCATCATCACAAGCATGTAAGCTATAGGGATGATCCTTTCTTCTGGAAAGGGAGGGAAACATTGCTTTATTTTTATTTTTTTTTTCTAATTTTAAGTGCTGTGATACATGTGCAGGATGTGCCGGTTTGTTACACAGGTAAACGTGTGCCATGGTGGTTTGCCGCACCTATCAACACATCACCTAGGTATTAAGCCCAGCATGCATTAGCTGTTTTTCTCAATGCTCTCCCTTCCCCCACCCCACACCCCCTGACAGGTCCCAGTGTGTGTTGTTCCTCTCCCTGCGTCCATATGTTCTCGTTTTTTCAGCTGCCACTTATGAGTGAGAACATGCGGTGTTTGGTTTTCTGTTCTTGTGTTAGCTTGCTGAAGATAATGGCTTCCAGCTCCATCCATGTCACTGCAAAGGATATGATCTCATTCCTTTTTATGGCTGCATAGTATTCCATGGTGCATATGTACCACATTTTCTTTATCCAGCCTATCAAGGGAATCATTCTTGGAAGAAATCACCTGAGTCAATTAGGAGTGGTGACCTCCCCACCACAGCGAGTCCTGGCCTCTCAGAGGATCAAGACATCTTCTCTCTTTATCAAAAGGCAAGGGTACAGGCTGGCAGGGTAGTGCATTCAGTCATGGAAAATTGAAGAAGTCCCTATGTGACTGCTTCTATTTTGTGAATAAAGGGTGTTCTGAGCGTCTGAGACGACAGAGGAAGTTTTGCTATGTAACTTTTGGGAAAGTTGATCCATGAAATATTTGATATGTGTGACAGTTCCCTGGGTATTTGGTCAAGATCTTGTTTTCTTTTTCATCTGGAAATATCTGACCCAGCCTGTGGCCTTCCAGTGTCTTACTTATGAGACCACTCACAGTGGCTATCTCATCACACCCTGAAAATTCTCCAACTCAGGTTTTGGAAGCCAAATTCAGGTCTTTTCCCAGAATGCTAAAAAATTTTCTTCACAGTTTAAAGAGGCTGACTAATGTTTAATAAGTTTGGGCAGATTTGTTAATAAGGAAACCTGGATTTGCTGCTGAAAACATGGAAGTAGGTGGGGTCAGAAGATGGGCTACTCCCCTCTCCACAGGCAGGTGAAGCTCACTTCCGATCTGTTTTTCTCAGTTAATGTGGAAAAGGTCATCCTTGGAGGAACCTCTAACAGTCCTTGCCATTGGCACTGGTCAACTAGGATGTGCAGAAAGAAGCAGTAGTATTTTCTTTCTTAATTCTTATGAACCTACACAGGTACTTTTTTTAACAAAATTAAAGAGGGAATAGGTTTTTTTTGTTTGTTTGTTTTTTCTGAGTCTCTCTCTGTTGCCAGGCTAGAGTGCAGTGGCGTGATCTTGGCCCACTGCAACCTCCACCTCCCAGGTTCAAGTGATTCTCCTGCCTCGGCCTCCTGAGTAGCTGGGATTACAGATGCTCGCCACCACACCCTGCTAATTTTTATATTTTTAGTAGAGACGGGGTTTCACCATGTTGGCCAGGATGGTCTCAATCTCTTGACCTCATGATCTGCCTGCCTTGGCCTCCCAAAGTGTTGGGATTACAGGTGTAGCCACCACGCCCAGGCTGTTTTTTTTTTTTTTTAAATGGAGTGGGCCAGGTGTGGTGGCTCATGCCTGTAATCCAAGCACTTTGGGAGGTCGAGGCGGGTGGATCACGAGGTCAGGAGATGGAGACCATCCTGGCTAACATGGTGAAACCCCATCTCTACTAAAAAATACAAAAAATTAGCTGGGCATGGTGGCAGGCGCCTGTAGTTCCAGCTACTCAGGAGGCTGAGGCAGAAGAATGGCGTGAACCTGGGAGGGGGAGCTTGCAGTGAGCCGAGATTGCGCCACTGCACTCCAGCCTGGGCGACATAGCAAGACTCTGCCTCAAAAAAAAAAAAAAAAAAAAAAAGAAAGAAAGAAAGAAAAAAAAGAAAAGGAGTGAACTTTGGAATGTCACAGGGATATCCCACCTATATCACCTACTGAATGTGTGACTTTGAACATGTTAACTAGCCCTTTTGAGTCAAGCATATCTTCTTACTGAAAGAACAAATTTATAAGCATTGATGCAGACTAAGCATTCACAAATATGAGCTTCCATCCTCTTTCTATCAATCAACTCATCTGTCAATGAAAAGCTGATACATTTGTTTGGAGAAAAGCACTTTTTAAATTTCAAATATGGTTGAATATTTTTAAAATTTTATGATTTTACCATAAACATTTTAAATGCAACTAATTCATGAGTGAATTTAAAGAATTAAATGCTATATTTTCTACAGGACATAAAATCCAAAGTGCAAGACTCTTTATTCAAATAACAGTATCTATCTCCAAAGAATATCATTGCTTATGGTGTCTTGCTTTGCCCTACATTTATATTAATGTATACATTTATATATGCTTCTTTTTATATATTATTTCTTTATACCAAAATGATCATTGTTCTTTTGAATTTAACAATATATTTGTCTGAAGAACAAATTTTGAAGATTCAAACTACCTGAATTCAGGACTTATGAAGCTACAGTAATCAACACAGTATGGTATTGGCATAATGATCAAAAATGGATTTTTGTAACATAGTAGAAATTCTAGTATGGACCCATCACAAAGGGACCTTGACATTTCAATGTGGAAAGGAAAGTCTTTCAACAAACACTGTTAAAGAATAGAAAAAATGCAATCATAGGGGAAGATGAGCTCAGACCTTATCTTTCATCACTGAGAAAACATAAGAGCTAAAATCATAATGCTCCTGGGAGAAAATGTGAGAGAACTTTATAACGTCAGCATAAGTAAATATTTTCTAGTCAGGACACAAAAGCACCTATAGTAAAAGGAAGAGAAATAACAAAAACAATAGCAGCACATAAAAAGATGTTCCACATTATTAGTTATCAAAGAAAACAATGAAAAAACAATGAGTTAAAGCCTTCCTAAAGTTAAATAATACGATCATATCAAGTAATGATGAGTTTGTGGGACCTTTCATACCTTAATGGTGAGAAGATAAAATGGTACAACCACTTTAGAAAACCTGCAGTGTCTTAGAAAACTAAACACACGCCCATTCTATGGCCCAGTAATGTCGTTTCTAGGTATTTACCCAAGAGAAATGAAAACATATGTCCACAGAAATATTTGGGCAAGAAGGTGTATAGCATTCTTATTCATAATAGCCCAATTTAAGAATTCAAATTTTTATCAACAGAAAAATGGATAAGCTGTAATTGTACAGTAGAATACTTTTCAGAAATTTAAAAAACTGAATTGCTGACAAAAGCAGAAACATGGATGAGTCACAAAAATGTGTTGATCTAAGAAGCTGAACACAAATGGAAACATTTAGTATGATTTCATGATTATATAAATTAATATAGTTGTTGCCAGTAGGGGTTGAGAATTTGCTGGAACGGCCCCCAGGGAGGAGTTTCTGGGGTGATAGAAATGCCCCCGTCTTGTTAGGGGTGCTGGTTATGGGGGTATATATTTATTAAAACACATAGACTTACACATTTAAGATCTGTGCATTTCATTGTATATAAATCTTACTTCAACTTTAATATATCAGATACATTTTTGCATGTCAAGGCAAACACATCAACTGCATTTGTTAAATCACTTTTTAAAGCATGATCTAGTATTAATAACCTGAAATTGGTTGAAAATCCTAACCATGATGGTTAGGGTTCTTTCCACATCTGATTCTATGGGTTTTGCACTGCTCTTGATTTGATTCATTCAGGGAGTATGCTATCTTCTGATTTTTGTAACTGTGGAGTAGCATGTCTTGTAAAAATTTACCTTCATTCTTGAGTCAGTTCTCTTCTAAGCATCTGGTGAATGCCCACACAAGAAATATGTAAATTCACTTGGCTTAAATATCCCCTCATTCTTGTTGATATATTGGACTTGGCCTCAAGATGGTATTGGAAGACTAGTTCAACTGTACGTTAGTGTTATCTTTAGGGAAATATGGTGGAAATCTGAGGCAAAGAGTAGAAATAGTTCACCAAAATATATTACTTAAGGTTAGCAACCCAACTAAAAGCTTTTGGGGTAGTGTGGTTGCTGGCTTGGCTTTAGCATTGCTTTTTAAAGGTGAAGGTTTGTTTAATTCCATGTGGTTGGGGTGAGAAGAGGAACAAGAGACCAAGAGAAGATTAATAAAAGTGAGAATAAAATAGAAAATGCAAAGTCAGGGCCAGCTGCTTGCCAGTGTGAATGGAATTACAATAATAATCTGGATGAGTTAGAGGCCAATGATAAAAGCACAATAAATTCCCAGAAAATTAGATTACTGAGAAAATCAGTCAAAATTTAAAAGCTGGGTTTTTTTTTTTCTTTCCCCAAGATGGCAGAATAGAGGCTTTTAGCATGTCTCAGCCACTTGGAAATAGAGAGGCAGGGCATTGACATGAATTCTGAGAGCTTTAATTCAAGAAGAAAAATGAGAATCCGATGGAGTTGTGAAGGACCCCCCAGAACCTGCAGAGGAGAATGTGGGCAAACAGCCCCTGCAACAGCATCTGGCTGATCAAAGCAGATCTCTGAGCATTCAGAACACCCTCTCCCCTGGAACAGCAGCCTGAGCCACTCCACCTTTCCAAGGCAGAGATCCTGGTGCAGGTGGACCCTTTCCACTCCAGGCCCAGGCAGTTCTCCAGGCCTCTCTAGCACTGACTCTCCAGGATTAGGCATTTGGATGCCCCACATCTCCATGCAGAGAACTTGGAGCCAAGGATATTTTCAAGCTCCATGCCTAGACACACCTCTGGGCACATGATGGTCACCCATTGAATTATCCTTCGATGTTGGTGCTTATGCCTGCCATTGGGAAATCTGTAGGTGGACTCTCCAGGTCTGGCCTCACTCATCCTGGTCTCCAGCCCTGTGGGGAGTTTAGGTGAGAATGCAGCCAACAAACCCATTGTCTAAGGCAACAAAGAGCTTCTCCCAGTAAACAAGAATAAAGTATATGCCCAGCCATGTTGGCTGAAGTGATTATTATCTATAAATACCATCAACTGGCTTGTAGGCCAAAGAGCACAGTGCAATATAAAACCTGCTGACAGAAGTACATAGGGCTATAGAAGTAAAGTCAAAAGACCCTACCCAGTGCTCTACAGTTATATCCCCTGGAGTGGGGGTAGGGGGAGAAGGAGAAAGGAAACTATATATATTTTAGAGAAAGAAAGAAAACGAAAAAATTCTACTCACATGAATATAATTACAAAACTCAAGAGTGCTGGCATCTCTAGTTGAGAAGAAACCAGCACAAGAATTCTGGCACCATAAAAATCTAAATGTAGTGACACCACCAAAGGATCACACTAGCTCTTCAGCAGTTGTTAACCAACATGGAAACTAAGAAGTGACAGATAAAAAATTCTAGGCATGGATTTCAAGGAAGCTCAATGATATCTAAGACAAGGTTTAAAATCAATGCAGAGAAACTTTCAAAGCCACCGAGGAAATGAAGGAAGAGATAAACACCTTTAAAGAAATCCATCAGAGCTTCTAGAATTGAAAAACTCACTTAAGGAATTTAAAAATACAATTGACAGCTTTATCAATAGACTAGACCAAGCAAAAGAAAGAATTTCAGAGCTTGAAGACTGGTCTTTTGAACTAACTTGGTGAGACAAAAATAAAGAAAGATGATTTTAAAAAGATGAACAAAGCCTTTGAAAAAATGTGGGATTATGTTAAGCCACCAAATCTGCATATTACTGGCATTCCTGAGAAAGAAGGAGAAAATATAAACAACCTGAAGAACATATTTAAGGGAATAATTCAAGAAACTTCCCATAATCTTGCTAAAGAGATAGACATCCAGATATGAGAAATACAGAGAACACCTACAAGATGTTATACAAAATGAACATCACCAGAGCATGTAGTCCCTGGATTGTCCAAGGTTAACATTAAAGAAAAAGATGTTAAAGGCAGCTAGAAAAAAAGGTCAGATCATGTACAAAGGGAATCCTAATAGTCTAACAGAGGACTTTTCAGCAGAAACCTTACAAACCAGGAGAGACTGGAGGCCTATTGTCAGCATTCTTAAAGAAAATAAATTCCAACCAAGAATTTTATATCCTGCCAAACTAAGCTTCATAAGTGAAGAAGAAATAAAATATTTTCCAGAAAAGCAAGTGCTAAGGGAATTGGTTACCACTAGATCAGCCTTCCAAGAGATCCTTAATCAAGTTCTAAACATGGAAATGAAAGAATGATACTTGCTACCACAAAAATACACTTAAATACAGAGCTTACAGACCTCATAAAGCAACCACACAGTAGAAACTACAAAGCAATCAGCTAACAACTTCACAATGGGATCAAAATCTCACATATCAACATTAACTTTGAATGTAAATGGTCCAAATGCCCCACTTAAAAGGCACAGAGTGGTAAGTTAGATTAAAAAAAAACTAAAACTAAAACCAAGATGCATCTATCTGCTTTCTTCAAGAGACCCATCTCACGTGTAATGACTCTGATATGCTCAAAGTAAAGGGTTAGAGAAAAATCTACCACAAAAATGGAACACACACAAAAATTATTATATCAGACAAAACAGACTTTAAGCAAAACCATACTTATAAAGGACAAAGAATGGCATTAAATAATGATACATTGTTCAATTCAATAAGAAGGCTTAACTATCCTAAATATATATGCAACATTAGAGTACCAAGAGTATCCAACACTAGAGTACCCAGATTCATAAAACAAGTATTTCTAGATCTACAAAAAGACTTACAAAGCCACACAGTAATAGTGAGGTACTTCAACATTCCACTGACAGCATTAGACAGATTATTAAGACAAAAAACTAATAAAGATATTCTGGACTTAAATTTGACACTTGATCAATTGTGCCTAACAGACATCTACAGAATATTCCACCCATGAAACACAGAATATACATTCTTCTCATCTGCACACGGAACGTGCTCCAAAATCGATCAAACCACAAGCTTGACTACAAAGCAAGTCTCAATAAACTAAAACAAACAAACAAAAACAGAAATCATATCAACCACACTCATGGACCACAGTGGAATGAAAATAGAAATCAATACCAAGTAGACCTCTCAAAACTATGCAATTACAGGGAAATTAAGCAACTTGCTCCTTAATGACTTTTGGGTAAACAATGAAATTAAGGTAAAAGTAAAAAGAATCATTGAAATAAATGAAAACGGAGACATGGCATATCAAAATCTATGGAATGCAGCAAAAACAGTATTAAGAGGAAAGTTTATAGTGTTAAACATATACCTCAAAAAGTTAGACAGATCTCAAACTAATGATCTAACATCACTTCTAGAGGAACTGGAAAAATGAGAACAAACTAACCCCAAAGCTAGCAAAAAAAATGAAATAACTAAAACCAGAGCAGAACTAAATGAAACTGAGACCCCAAAACCATAAAAAGAATCAATGAAACCAAAAATTGTTTTTTTTGAAAGGATAAACAAGATTGATAGACTGCTAGCTAAATTAACAAAGAAAAAAAGATCCAATTAAGCACAATCAGAAACAACAAAGATAACATTACAATCAATCCTACAGAAATACAAAAGGTCCTCAGAGACTATTATGAATACCTGTATGCACAAAAACTAGAAAATCTAGAAGAAATGGATGAATTCCTGGAAACACATAATCTTCCAAACTTGAATTAGGAAGAAACTGGAAACCCAAACAGACCAATATTGAGTTACAAAATTGAATCAGTAATAAAAAAAACTACCAAAAGAAAAAAAAAAAGACCTGGACCACATGGACTCACAGTCAAATTCTATTAGACATACAAAGAAGAGCTGGTACTAATTCTACTGAAACTATTTCAAAAATAAGGAGGAGAGACTCCTGCCTCCCTCCTTTTATAAAACCAACATCACCCTGATAACAAAACCTAGCAAAGACACAATAAAAAGAAAACAACAGGCCAATATCCCTAATGAATAAAGACACAAAAATACTCAACAAAATACTAGCAAACCAAATCCAACAGCACATCAAAAAGTTAATTCACCATAACCAAGTAAACTTCATTCCTGAGATGCAAGTTTTGCCTAATACATACAAATCAATAGGTGTGATTCACCACATAAACAGAATTAAAAACTAAAACCATATAATCATCTCAATAGACATGGAAAATGCTTTTGATAAACTTCAATATCCCTTCATGCTAAAAATACTAAACTAACTAGGCATTGAAGGAACAAACCTCAAATTAAGAGCTACCTATGACAAACCCACAGTCAACATCACACTGAATGGGCAAGAAATGGAAGCATTCCCTTTAAGAACTAGAATAAGACAAGGATACCCTTTCTCACCACTCCTATTTAACCTAGTACCGGAAGTGCTAGCCAGATCAATTGGGCAAGACAAAGACATAAAAGGCATCCAAATAGGAAAAGAAGTCAATCTCTCTTTGTGGACAACATGATTCTATACCTAAGAAACACTAAAGACTCCACCAAGTCTTCTGCAACTGATAAACGACCAGTAAAATTTAAGATACAAAATCAACGTACAAAAGTCAGTAGCATTTCTATACACCAGTGACATTCAACTGAAAGCCAAATCAAGAACACAATCTCATTTACAATAGCCACGCACACACACACACACACACAAAACTAAAATCTAGGTGTGCATCTAACCAAGGAGGTAAAATTCTCTACAAGGGAAACTACAAAACACTGCAGAAATAAATTGTAGATGACACAAACAAATGGAAAAACATACCATGCTCACGGATGGGAAGAACTAATATGAAAAAGGCCATACTACCCAAAGCAATGTACACATTCAATAGTATTCCCATCAAGCTACCAACGTCATTTTTTACAGAACTAGAAACAGCTATGCTAATCTTCACATGGAACAAAAGAAAGAGCCCAAATAGCCAAAGCAATTCCAAGCAAAAAAAAAAAAAAAAAAAAAATGGAAAGAAAAGAAAAAAGAAACAATATCAGAGGTTTTACATTACCTGACTTCAAACCATACTATAAGGCTATAGTAACCATAACAGCATGGTACTGGTACAAAAACAGACATGTAGACAAATGGAACAGAATAGAGAACCCAGAAATAAAAGCTGTACACCTACAGCTATCTTATTTTTAATAAAGTTGACAAAAATAAGCAAAGGAGAAAGAACTTCCTGTTCAATAAATTGTATTGAGATAGCTGCTAGCTATATGCAGAATAAACTGGACCCCTACTTTTTAACATAGACAAAAATTAACTGAAGATGGATTAAAGATTTAAAGGTAAGACCTCAAAATAAAAAAATTCTAGAAGAAAACAACATTCTGGATATTGGCTTTGGGAAAGAACTTATGACTAAGTTCTCAATTCAGTTGCAACAAAAACAAAAAATGACAAGTGGGATCTAATTAAACTAAAGGTCTTCTGCACAGCAAAAGAAACTATCAATAGAGTGAACAGACAGCTTCCAGAATGGGATAAAATATTTACAAACTATTCATTCAACAAGGGTTTAATATCCATCATCTACATGAAACTTAAATAGTTGAACAAGCAAAAAACAAATAACCCCATTAAAAATGGGCAAAAGATATGAACAGACACTTTTCAAAGGAAGACATACAAGTGACCAACAAACATGAAAAAATGTTCATCATCATTAATCATCAGAGAAATGCAAATCAAACTACAATGAGGCACTGTCTCACACCAGTCAGCATGACTGTTACTAAAAAGTCAAAAACCAACAGATATGGGCAAGGCTGTGGAGAAAAGGGAACAGCTGATACACTGTTGGGGGAAATGTAAAGTAGTTTAGCCACTGTGGAAATCAGTTTAGAGATGTCTCACAAAACTTCGAACTACCATTTGACCCAGCAATTCCATTACTGGGTATATATCCAAAAGAAAATAAATCATTTTACCAGAAAACACCCACGCTCACATGTTCATTGTAGCACTATTCACAATAGCAAAGGCATGGAATAAACCAAGGTGCCCATCAACAGTGGACTGGATAAAGAAAATGTGGTACATATACACCATGGAATACTACACAGCCATGAAAAAGAAAGAAATCATGTCCTTTGCAGCAACATGAATACAGCTGAAGTTCTTTTTTTTTTTTTCTTTTTTTTTTTTGAGACGGAGTCTCACTCTGTTGCCCAGGCTGAAGTTCTTTATCCTAAGAGAATTAACACAGGAACAGAAATGCATATCCTTCTTGTTCTCACTTATAACTTGGAGCTAAACATTGGGTGGTCATGCACATAAAGATAGCAACAATAGAAACTGGGAACTACTAGAGGGAGTGAAAGGGAAGGAAGAAAGGGTTTAAAAAAAAAAGAAACTATCACGTACTATGCTCAGTAGCTGAGTGATGAGATCAGTTCTACCCCAAGCCTCAGCATCATGCAATATATCCAGGTAATAAACCTGCACCTGTGCCCTACGAATCTAAAATAAAAGTTAAAATTATTAAAAAAATAAAGATACACAAAATTTTAAAGCTACAGAAATCACAATTTTAGAATAAAGAATACTATTTATTAAATTCAATTTAATTTTTATTTTATTTAAGGCTGTTATAAAAAAGTTTTAACAAGAGAAATATATATGCATAGATATATATGTGTGTATATATATCATCTTCAAGCCATCCTAATGTTATACTCAAATCTTTGATTTTTCCAAGCGTTTTCTCTTCCAGAGTGCTTAGTATTTTTGTTACCATGACAACATGTGTAACAATTCCTTTTTTTGACAGTGTTGCACTAAGGATTGGTTGAGAAAGTACAATAAAGACAGTCTTCCAGTTCTTTCATTTGATTATATATGTTCATCTTCTTTTACACCTAAAGGAAGTTTTAAAACCCATCATGGATTAACCAAATTTGCAAAGATAGGAACAGTGGTGAAATGATTTTCTTGATATGGAAATTTTATCCTGAAACATTGACTGAGTGAAAGGATGAGAGGTATTAGCTACCAGTGAGTTGTAAAGGAAACAAAACTGCCTCCTTTATGACAACTGTACCAGAAGGGAGGGGAGGGGTGCTTTGCTTTCAGTTGAGCAGCAGATCAGCATTTGGTACAAGTTGGGGGCGTTTTTGAAAAATTCTACTATCTGTGTGGATAAAAAGACACCAGTTGAATAGAACGAAAGAATTATCATATTCTTACATCTCAATATCTCCCTGTGAATTTGAGATGTGATTTAATCAAGGAGTGGCGAAGGGCACATTATGAAACAGGAGATGGCTCCTTACCAGTTAATTTTGAGAAAAAAAAAAACAAAAAAAAACATTTCTCTCCCCAGTTCTGTCAGCTTTCATAAGCACAGATAACAGGCCAGAAGCCTGCAACTGTATTTCCCACATAGCTGATCAGCAGTTATGAAATCACAGCAGTTAAATCTGAGCTCTTTAATGTGCCTTTTATATAGAAACCCTGGGAAACAATAAATAAAACATTAAGAGATATCATAATTGCAAAAAATAGTATCGCCAATAAACCTCCCATAGAAAGGCAAATATCATTTTCTCTGGACTTTTTCCTTCTGCTCTGAATTATGAAGATTGCACAGCTCAAGAAATTAGGACCATTCCAAAATTGCATTTGGTAAAGAGATTTGGAAGTAAAATGTTAGGGATTATTATTCATAATAATCTGGCCTCTAACTCCTGACCTCAGGTGATCCACCGGTCTTGGCCTCCCAAAGTGCTGGGATTACAGGTGTGAGCCAGCACACCTGGCAGATCTTCTGTCTTGAAAATACACATTATTACATAAAAAATATTTTTGTATTTCCCTAGATTTGTTTTTAATAGGAAACAAAGTCATTAAACGGTAGCTATGGAAAAAAAATGCCATAGAGCCAGACTTACGCACATCATGATTCTGAAATTTGACAAGGCCAAGCACTTTCTTTTGTGTTATCTGCCTCCATTTGAACACAGGACAAAGAAAGGGTAGTTTTGGAAGAGAAGAAAAGTGATTCAGTCCTTGTGGTACCTGAGAAAGCATCAACCTAAATAACAAGCAGAGCGAGGTTCTCTAAAAGGAAATGATATTTATTCAGGAATATGCACGTCATAGTAAACTATGTGTGTATTCAGAGAGGTAAAGGAAGATGAAAGTTTTTAAAGAAATAAATGAATAGAATTGCATAATTGTTTTGATATAAGCATGCCTTAGCCTACCTTAGCCCACCTCTGCCCTACCATGTGTGGGTTCTGTCCATGGCTGACTTTCTCCTATGCAAAGCTTGGATTCTATGCAAGCAACACAAAGAGAAGGGTCAATATGCTTCTCTGTCTCTCTCTCTGAATAGCATCATCTTATACAAGCCATGCAGGCAACCATCCTCCTCCCAAGACCAGGCACCTTATTCTTCCAATTTTAGGATATATTAGGGCATGGAGCAGCTTGGCAGAATGATGCCAGGGTTCCTCTGCTTTGGTGAACTCAGTGGCTATGTTCTTATCTCCAGGAAATTCCATTTGGATAAAAACCCAGTGGCACAGATTAATCTTAAATGCAAACTGTAAGAAGGTGTTCATGCTTTCTTTACGTTTCTCTGCAAGATATCCTTCAAATCTCCCAGCAGCGTCAAGCATTCTGCAGTATTTTTTAAGCTTAACTCCTTGTAGTCCACTGGGCTTATCACAGACACCATCTTTCTTCTGTGCTTCCAATTATGCCATGTTGTCATTTGCCAAGATATGGGCTCCAATCTTAGCCTAGGGTTTCACCAGCCAAAAAGAAGAATGTGTTTCACAAAGAATCTAAGAAATTTCAGATGACCGCCAAGTACAGCAAGTCCAAGTATCAGGATACACAGTTCAGGGGTAAGACAAACATCTCTTTTTCTATAATTAAGTTTAATTTATATTCAGAGTCCCAGTTCCACTAATGGTAGAAACCACTTCCAGACCCAAATCATGACATTGTTGAAGTTTCCTGTAACTTAGATGCAATGTGAGGGCAGGTATTTGGCTTTAACTTCCAATATAAGACAGATATAACACTATGTAGAAATTATCAGAAAAATATCTATTTTATTCTATTGGCATGTAGTCACTACACAAGGTGTTTTAAAACCAAATGAAGGTTGGGAATGAAAGAAGCTCTATAACAACCAATTTCCGTGCACACTGAACAATTTTAAAGCTATATATGGGAAATCATATAATATATTAAATATATAAGATATGCAAAATATTTTAACCTGCTGGGTGAGTGGTTATTAATAAGAAATATTAAATCTTGACCAAAATAATTAGACTAGATCATTGCTGTAACATGGATTATTATTGCATCAACAAATTCATACTACAGGTCAAATCATACAGCCTGAAGAATAACAACGATGAATAAAGGAACAAACTATAATGATGCTGAGTTATGAAATGAAAATTCTACCAACATCATGGTGTAAATGTCTTTTAAACAAGTATTTGCTAATGGAATTCAACAAGGGAATACTAGGGGAAGTAAGTTGGACATGTCCAGTGTCCTCAGGGAAGACAGAGTAGAAGGACTGTGAATGAATGTGCAGGGCTTCTGCCCGAAGAAGAAATAGACCCCTAGGCCCAAGGCTGAAGACTGTTACCTTGCAAAGCTTTCTGGGCCTCTGGACTGTTGAATGCTAAGTGTGGTGCTAGACACAGCAATACCTTCAACACACTTTCTGTTGGCTCTGTGCTGCATAGTTGTCCCCAAAGTTTTTTCTGTGGAAAACTGATTTTGTGAGGGTCTTCTTGAAAAGAGGCTACATGGTCAAACAAGTCTAAGGTGTATGGCAGTGCTCTTAGCCTATGTGGCACAGTGAGAAGGGCTCTGATGTGAAATCCAGGTCAATATCCTTCAACCTGGTATTTACCAGATTTTTTGAATATTCAGCCTGGTTTCTTTTTTTTCTTTTCTTTCTTTCTTTCTTTTTTTTTTTTTTTTGGTCACATTTATTAACATCCTCTAGAACTGGTATTCTGAGGAGCACCTTAGAAGTGCTGATCTTGCTCTACATTTCAAGCTGATACGCAATTTTTAAAGTAGATTTATAGATTTTACCTTTAACTACTGCATAGTTTTATTTATAAAATTTTCAGCAGAATGAGAACCAGTGGTTAATAGCAACTTGAACACCTAAGGAAGTGTTTATTTCTCAGAAGGACTCTTCTGCTAGATCACTGACAACTCAAGTTCTTGATTCTCTATCCTAGATGCCATCCTGGTGTGGCTCTAGGGAACCAGTCTGTCCTCATCCCTGTTGATATGCTTTCCAGGGTGCTGCAGCTCTCTGACATACAAAGTAAAAGTGTTACTGAGAGCTGCAGTTGCTTCTGCCCCCTAAGAAAGCTGAAATACTTCATGGGAAAAGGAAATCTCCATGCCACTCCCTCCATATTCTGATGCTGGGGAATGCTGGGAGGTAGGCTCTTCATGGAAAAGGGCACACCAAGCATCTTTGAATACAGGGAAAGAAGAAACCTGGGACTGAGTATGGAGCATAGACTAGACGGGTTTTATTTGCGCCACATAACAACACAGAGGAAATTGGAGAATCGTAAAAGGAAGAAAGAAGGGAACTTTGAAAGAGGACGCTGGCTGTGACCAGTGGAAGAGGGCCTGAAAGGGTTTTTAGAACAAGATTGTAAAATATTCTATTTTAATTTGTTTACACTAGTGCATTGTAAATATTCTTCCTAACTCTTCCACAATCTTCCAAGATCTCCATCCACATGCCTATGCATACTTCTCAATGCTGTCTTAGTTGATGCCTGAGCCTGAATAACTAGAGGTGGAATCTACCCTCTGCTTTTGGGTCCCTGCATATAGAACCAGAGAAGTTGACTGAGGCCGGATGGAGCTCGGGCCAGAAGTGACCAATTAAAATATACTTAACTTCATAAAGAGGCGGGCTGGGAAAAGCTTTACCCAAGCTGACCAAAGCTCCAAATGGCCAGGTGGATCTCAACAGGTAGCGTACCAATAAAAGTTCAACTTAGTGCTGATTATCAGAGAAGTGCAATATAAAGCCAGTACTTTTGACTTATCAAAGTCAAGGAGAACATTTTAGTGATAGCATCAAGTATGAGTGTGAGTGAAGGGCAGAGAGGACAGAGCCCTGTCCTACATGGCTGCTGAAAGTGTAAATTTGCAACTTTGTATAAAGAATTGGGTAATGTGTATCAAAAATCTTAAACATAACTCTTTGTGTTAACTTGGGAATAGGAAATTAGCTACAGGAACAGAGAATCATTGAAAAATCTGTGGGCATTCATACATTTTACAGAATTATTTATAAGAACAAAAATAGGTATACTCTAAATGTTTAATAAAGGAAATTGATTAAAATACTCATTTTTCAATAACACAATATTTCCCTTCTTTCCTTCCCTCTCCTCTCTTCTCCCCGTATCTCTCCACACGTACATATGTATGAGAGTGCATCTACACACTCACATTCATGAGCAATATTCTATTTTGGAAAATATTAAAAGTATTCAAAAGTTTATTTTTAAAAGTTGGGACCACCAGACATTTTATGGAAGAATATTTAATTGTTAAGTAAAAAGGACAGGTTCTATTCCAGAGAGACCAGCAATACATTATAGCATGTAATTATATCCACATTATGAGATTATGGGAGCTTTGCATATTCTTTATTTTTTTTTCCTGCATTTTCCAAATTTTCAAAAATTATCCTGTACTATTTTTCCATTTATCAATAAATCAAGTAAACACATCAGATGCAGGCACCAAAGAGGATTCAGACTAGTATTGCTGACTTTATTTTTTAGATAATTAAAAAAAAATTTTAGATTTTTTTATCATGTTTAATTTAATTTTTAATTTTTAATTTTTTTTTTTAGAGATGGAGTCTCACTATGTTTCCCAGGCTGGTCTTGAGCTCCTGGGCTCAAGTGATCCTCCCATCTTGACCTCCCAAAGTGCTGGGATTACAGGCATGAGTCACCACAGTGGTCTTTTTTGTCATATTTAAATGCCCACTTTACGAAGAAATGGGATATGAACCTTGAGAGGGGAGTGAAGTTTGACTTAATACAGGACTGACTGAACCCCAGGCTTTTACTTGATCAATTGTATTTTGGGACAGTATGCAGTTTCAAAAAACACTAATGCAAAGATAATCTAAGTGAAATGCACTGTGGACATATTTTCTATTCCAAATCTAATATGTTTTGACCTCACTAGCAGCCTGCATTTTAAAAAGGAGAAATACTTTTATATAAAGTAATCTTTATTTTTCATAATCAAAAGAATCTCTGTTTTATTTTGGACTATCCTAACCCACACTTATGGTGTACAGCAAACCAAGGAAACCCTGGAAACAGGAGGAGGAGGGGGAGAAAAGAAAAAACAAATGCCTTGGGATTAAAGAGTAAAGAAAATAAAGGCAGACACCAAAGCAAAGACCTGTGCCTCCTCTTACACAGTAAGCATTTCCTTCAGCCATCAACTAATGTTTAAATAAAATTATTTAAGGCAGTTGATCTCCATTTATTCAGCCTTCTCTCTAAAACGGTTTTTATTCTGGAATCTCATTAAGTCACATGAACAGCTGCACCAAGTTGTTATGGCAACAGGAATTTTAAAGGTAAATTAATTTTGCTACAAGGTGTTATTAAGACCAGGTAAGGGTGGCCTTGAATAATAATGGCTCCTCTCTGCTCCGCAGAGCATGACAGCTCCCATTGAGCTGCAAGAGCTGCAATAGAAGAGAAACATCCTTGATTTATTGTCATCTCTTAACAATTCTTACAGGAAATATGGCCATAAATTGTGTTGGTTTATTGCAGATTTGTACATCCCACTTTTAATCCTCCATAAAATTATAGATTGAAGGAGTGCTTCAGCTCATCAGTCCATTGGTTTCTGATGAACTTATAAAGGAGAAACTACCATTTAGACAGTTTCTCTTGTGAAATGACAATATATTCCTAGAGAGCTTTATGTTATGGAAAAAATGTGACCTTTCAATTTTAGAGAAAGAAGTTGGAAAAAGTCTCAATCCTAAATTCAGGTTACATCTAAGTGAGCACACAGATGAAAAAAAATTCGGCAAGTGGCTTCTAAATTGGGATCAGAGAAGAGAAAAGCTCTGAGTTTCATCTGCACAAGTCCTATAAAACTGTTCCAAATTCTGGATTCCCTAGGTTTGTACTTTCCAGTGTCTGTTTTTGTTTGTTATTTTTGCTTTGTTTTTGTTTTGACTTTTAACACTAGTCCTAGAAAAGTCTTCCATGGTCAAGTAATTACGGGCTATCATTCATAATGTAGGTCACAGAGCAATTTAGCAGGTTCGAAGCCCTGCCAAGTCCTGCTAAAAAGAACGCATCTTGATTGTTTTTAACCCAATATTTTACAGGCACTGTTTGTCATGGAACATTTTTAAAATATGTCCCTAGTTTTGAGTAAAATTTATTAACATCAGGTGGACCTACTTTGAGAAATACTCCTTAGATTAAAATCTTGAGGTCAAAATTACTGAGAGCTAAACATGGCTACTATACTTGAAAAATCACTTCAAGTTTAGGAATATCTGTTTTCCTTTAACTAAGTTCTAGTGCTAATAGGATCATTACCTCTTCTGCTCCTTATTTTAAAATTATGTATTATGTGTCAAACACTGACCTAACGGCTTTGCATGAGCTGTATGATAGAGTCTGGTCATATCCTCTCTACTAGTGCAAAACACACATATGTGCTTAAACGTTCAGGGCACACATGCTTGCACATGCACATACATGCACCAACACATGCTCACATACATTTTCCAAGAAGACAAAGTGGTGGAAAAAATGACTACTCTGTTTATTTTCAAGCAGTGTGTTTCAGTATAAAGTAAAAACTCATCACTAACCCTGCAAAAGAATTCTATGATAGCAATCTGGAATTTCTGGGAGTGAAGCTGAACAGTAAAGCAGCAGAGCAAGTGAGATGGTTGATATGCAAGGGGAAGGATCAAAACATGGTGCCCTCTTTCTCTGAAAAAGACTGATGAAATCCACACAGGGCTTGGCACCTGGCTGGGAGGGGCAGATCATTGGTTTGTAAACTTTCATAGAGACATCACCAGCAGGAATCTAGCCAAAACCAAACAAACAAAAACAGAGACAAAAAAGAGTAGTGTGACGTTTTCCTTCCTTCACGGACATGTTGGTCCAGTATTTCTAATCCATTTTTCTTAAAATTTGTCTGGGTCATCTGTTCTTGTTAAAATGTACACTCAGCATATTATACATCTGAAAGAAAAACTAACTTGAAAAACTGACTTGAGCAAGCATCAAACCAGTAATAGAAAATTATTTCCCATGAGATTCCTTAAAGAACTAAAAGTAGATCTACCTACCATCCCACTCCTGGGTATCTACTCAGAAGAAAAGAAGTCATTAGATGAAAAAGATACTTGCACAAATATGTTTATAGCACCACAATTTGCAACTGCAAAAATATGGAACCAGCCCAAATGCCCATCAATCAACGAGTGGATAAAGAAAATGTGATGTATATTTACCATGGAATACTACTAAGCCATAAAAAGGAATGAAATAATGGCATTTGCAGCAACCTGGATGGAATTGGAGACCATTATTCTAAGTAAAGTAACTCAAGAATGGAAAGCCAAACATCCTGTGTTCTCACTCATAAATGGGAGCTAAGCTATGAGGACACAAAGACATAAGAATAATACAATGGACTTTGGGGACTTGGGGGAAAGGGTGGGAGGGGATGAGGGATAAAAGGCTATACATTGGGTACAGTGGACACTGCTCAGGTGATGGGTGAACTGAAATCTCAGAAATCACCACTAAAGAACTTATTCATGTAACCAAACACCACCTGTTTCCCAAAAACCTATTGAAAAAAAGTTATTTCCCACGAATATCTGTGCAATTTAAAACATATACATAAAAGTATATTAATATTCCTCACACTCACACCTTTTGAGACCACTAGAAAGATTTAGGGGAAAAAAAAAGGAAATTCAGACAAAAGTAGTTTTTCAAGCTGAGTCCTCAAAGCAACAAGTAGTAGCATCGTCTGATCACTTAGCAATAAGTTCCTGTAGCTCCTTTTGCACCAGGTAGTCAAGTAGGGACAACTGGTACTGCCAGGGACCAGGCTACATTTGGGGAGCTGACAAGAGCAGCATCAGAGTAGGCTTTAGTGAGGAAGCTCATTGGGTTCATGGCATGCAGCCCATGAAAGGGATGAAGCAAGAGGACCCCCTGGTCAGGGCAGGGCATCCATCACGTTGGGAAGAGCAGCCAGTGCAGGGTCAGGCTGGTGAACGGAGGGGACGGGCCAAACGTGAATCTCAAAGCAGAAGCAAATACAGGCAGGTGCAAACCCAAGCGCTGTGCTCGGCCTCCTCAATGTGGATTGCAAAACAACAGTATTTACTGGGGCTTGCTATAGACAAGACACTCTGCTAGGGGAAGGGGATACGTAGAGGCAACAAGACAAAATGCCTACCTTACAGAGAGGGTATGGACTAATTGATATGCTGCATAATGACCATTCATCAATGAAGGACCGCATATTCTATGGTAGTCCCATAAGATTCTAATACCATATTTTTACTGTATCTTTTACGTGTTTAGTATGTTTAGATACACCAATACCATTGTGTTCCAATTGCCTACAGTATTCAGCACAGTCATATGCCATCCAGGTTTGCAGCCTAGGGGCACAGGCTACATCATACAGCCTAGGCGTATAGTAGGCTATGCCATCTACATGTGTGTAAGGACACTCTATGATGTTCACACAATGACAAAATCACCTAATAGCACATTTCCCAGAACATGTCCCCAACATTAAGCAATGAATGACTGTAGCTGAAAAGGGTAATTTAACAACGGAAAGCAGTGGGTGGCAGTCAAGAGTTCTAAGAAGTCCAAGGTGAAAGTGCTCTGTGAATAGATTGCTGGTCTCCTATTTTGCTTTTTGAGCCCATCTGTGCTGTGCTTTTGGAAAAATGTTGTCAGTCCTAACCTCCAACACTCTCAGTGCATTTGGAGCAATACACTTCTGGTGAACAGAGAAAATACCATATTCTGCAAGTGAGATTTTTTGTCTCCATTCTGTGGTTATTCTTTATCCAACAAAATGAAGTTTTAGAATTTAAGTTAATGAACATTTATTGTGGACCTAGCTTACAGAGTAAAGGGACAGATGAGTAAAAGAGTCTTTGCCCTCAAGAGTTATGAAACCTGAATCACAAGAGAAGTATAAAAAGGGACTACCAGAGAGTTCAGATGAAATGAGGTGCATAATGAATGTGCCTTCAGTGGGGCACAGATGGAGTTATGTGGGAGGGCATGGGGAAACTCTTAATGCAGGAGTTGGCCTTCAGATGATCCTTCAAGTGGGATGGTCATTAGAAGGAGAAGAGATCCCCAAGGATGAGCAATGCCAGTATCTGAGGCCAGATGGCCCGGAAAGGCTGGTGCTAGGGGGAGCAGCAGTCACTCTGTTTGTCAGAGCCCAGGAGCTCTTGTACAGAGGCAATGGCTGCACCAGCTGGTGGAACTACATTGCAGGAAACCTCCAAAGCCACACAGGGTTCATCTGCTTTTCAAAAGGCAAAAAAGGACTGGTGGGAAGTTTCTGAGCCAGAAGGAGACAATATCAGTTATATCTAAACCAAAATATTTTTAACTTGGTGCAAGGTTTCTAGATAAATCAGGGAACTGGATAATGAGTCAGAAAGAGTGCCAGGAGGATGTCAGCATCGCAGAGGTGCTCCCTGCTAACATCACATCCTGCACTCAATTTTTTTTTTCTTTAAATCACTGCTCGGGTTGTGTGGCATGTAATGAGAATGGTAAAATGCTTTGTTCTTATTACTGTAATTTCAATAACAAATATGGAAAGAAACAACGAAATGGCCTACACAATAAAAATAATTGTTAACCCATTTTACTAGCTCTGTGGCTAAATTATATTTTTATAAATTACAGTTCCAGTGGAGGCAAATGTGCTCGCAAGTTCCTTGTTAACAAGGTCACCAGTATAATTTGAATATTTTCCACAGCTGTTGCTCTCACACCTAAAGAGGGAAACAGCTCCAGCTATGTAGGGCAAGTGAACGAGAATGCTAATGAGTCTAACAGATTGGTTCAAAATAGAAGCATAAACCTTCAATTCATGAGGACACAACCGTTACGAAACCAAAGCCGAGGAGCTGGTCTGTGTTGAGGAATTCAACACTGCAACATCGTTCGAATATTTGACATAGTTCTTGACCCAGGCTTGGCAAAATTTGTCCACTATAAATAGAGGAAGGAGGGAAAAGTTTATGAGAGACCATATAATTCCATAAACATGAATTTCACTCTTAGAAGAATCCATAAAGAATACTTTGAAAACATGCTTTGTGAACGCTCTTTCACTGAATTACTGTGTAAAGCGTTTTGGCAGCAGTATCATGTTCTATACAGCAGAGCTAAAATTGCAAATTCACAATGATACAAGTGATATTAGGTAATTAAGACAATAAAGATTTATTTGATGATAAGAATCAATGGCTTGATTTACCAAATCAATTGGTTTACTATTTTGTTTGTTTAAGTGGAGATGAAGTAAACTTCCATCACAGTCCTTAATGATAAATCTTTATTGTTGCTGCTCTTTTCCATTCTATCTGCGTTGAGAAACTAGTTTTTGGAACTCGCTGTAAGAGCTGTAGAATGGGAACAGGCTGAACCACTGAGTAAGAGGGAAACAGGTTTTGCACAAGACGACGTGCAAGTGGAGGATCTGACGTGGTTTGAAAAGCCGTGGGGCTTTGACTAACACACTGAGGCATGGAGGAAATGCCACCAAATTCCTACCAAAGCACACTCTGAACATCGACATTATACTAAAGCGAATAATAAATAAGGGGCAAGAACTTGCAGGCACTGCCCATTTGCATTAAAGTCTGACAAATTCCTGCTCCCAAAGAATTCCTCAGGAAATGCATTGAGATGATGATTCTCAGATCAATTCCCTAGCATTCAGGGGAAAAGTTTTTTAAAATCACAAAATTAAAAAACAATGTCTTTCAATACTCCAGGCACTGATTTGAGATGTTACACTTTTTGAAGCCAGACTCGGTACTTTTTGGTATATTGGGCTCAGAGTCTCACTGGTACTAAGCTTATTTGATGCTTTGGTGTGTTGGGCACAGAGCTTTCCCTGGTATGTAGCTTATTTGTAAGTTTCTATAAATTGTTGCAAGTCAGCTGTAGGAAAAGCAGGCATCTTGAGAAGTCCTGGTAATTATTCCAGAGCACTAGGCTTACATTAAAAAATAAAAAAAAAACTTAGCCCAGAGTGTTGTGAAAAAGACCAATGGAGATTATCATTTAGCTACCTAAGAAGAGTGTAAAGAAAACAAATTATTATCCTAAAATACTAGTGATGATTTACCTAATTAATCTTTGACAGCTTGAAATGTGTCCTCAGCAAACGGTAATGTGGTAGTGTGTGCTCAAGGAACACTAGATTAATGAAGCACAGATATAAAAATTGCATCTGTTAGATTATGTAATTCTCTCTGAGTAATTTTAATTACTGGGTATTTCAGGACCTTCCAAATCTTCTTAGAACAAAAATGTCTTATTTTATTTTTAAGAAAACTTACTTTGAGTTTTCCATCACGCTAAATATTTTACTCATCGAGACCTTTTTTAAATTATAAGACTTTTTTTTTCTTTCTTTGATTTTGGCAGCATGGGAGAAGGAAGGTAAATGAACATAGAGAAGTTATCTAACAATTTGTTTTCATTTAACATTCAACAAGGGAGAGATTTGTTTCCTCTCCAGATTTTAAGAGATTTAAATAAGGTCGTTTATGTTCAGCTCAGTTAAGCTACTGATGATCATTCTGTTCTCTTGGCAGTAAAGTGTCCTCAGCCTATTATTTCTTTAGAACAATAAAATAGCCCGGGCTGCCCAAGCCATCATCCTACAATGGGTAGAACCATGCATAGATTATTAGCTTGCAACCACACTTCTGCCTCTATTGGATCATGGCAAGGGGGCCTGACAGCATAGACCTGCTTCTTGATAGAACAAAAAAAGAAGGCTAGCCCGTTCACGACAAGATCATTTACTAAGAAAATATTCAATACTCAACAATTGCAAGTCTTGGGACATTTAGAAAATAAAATAGACTTACACTCCTTGAAGTCATCCCAGGAGAATTCTTCCGGTGAAGACTAAGGTGATCATTCAGCCCCTCGCTCGTTGGGGAGAGAGAGTTAAGTCACAACTGAGATGAGAACATTGGTCCATGGCATTGTGAAATGGATATGCGCGTTAGTATAAAGGGCATCACTTAGTTCATTTCCATCTGGCCAGTGTTTATTCTGTGCTTTTTGTATAAGGCGAGAGTGCAAAGAGGTATGACCAGTCCTCTAGGAATCCCTAGCCAGTAAAAAACTTTTGTCAAAACAGAGGAGAATTCCTCTTCTAGCAATGTCCATCTAGCTGGCTTCTGACTCACCTTCCAACTCAAAACAATGAGACATACTATGTGTTAAATGTATCAATATATACACACACACAATTAAAATCTGTTTGAAACTATAGGGCTCCCAAAGTAGAAACCTCAGATTTCACAATTAAGAAAACTGAACACCAGTTAAAATTTCAGTTTCAGATAAGCAATAGGTAATTTTTAGTTCATGTATGTTCCAAATATAGCATGGGACACGTGTCAAAAGTTATTAATTGTCTCTCTGACGTTTCAGTGTAACTTAGTGTCACACATTTGCCTACAGCAAAGCAGGGAGAACCTGAGGGGCTACCATTCAGGACATCCTGACAGACGGGGCTTGTTTTCCCTGTGAGGCACCTGTTGATTCTAAGCACGGCAGCTTAGAAGCAGAGAGGACAAGTGAGATTGCAGAACACCTGTGGAATTCAAGGGACACAATTTGACTGTGCCGGCCCACCAATGAATAAGGCCTTTATTCAACACTCCTTTGGCTAAGGTGTAGGAATAAGGAGTGCTGTGAGTTTCATTGCATCCTCAAAAGGTGGTTTAAGTCCTAATCCCTGTGGCCTGTGAATGTGACCTTCTTTGGTGATAGCGTCTTTGCAGACGATCAAGTTAAGATCATTAGAATGGGCCCTTCTCCAATACGATGGTGTCTTTATAAAATGGGCAGATTTGGACACAGACAAGCACATGAGGAGAGCACCATATGAAGATGAAGCCGGGGATGCTGTGATGCTTCCACACATCAAAGACCGTCAGCACAACCCCGGAAGCTAGGAGAATGCCTGGAGTAGATTCTTCCTCACACCTTCATGAGAAACCAGTCCTGTCGATGAGAGAGAATATATTTCTGCTGTTCTAAGCCACCAGTTTTGGTAACTTTGTCATGGCAGCCTTGGGAAACTAAAACAAGGGTCAAGTGGAGGCAGCACTGCCCTTGGAGGGTTGAGGCCCAGCTCACTCCATTGCTGCAAATCCTGTCTAAATCATCTCCCTTTGCTAAGTGCTCCCAAACACCCAGCTTGTCAGAAACCAAAAATAAGCCATCCTAGGAGGAGTACAGTAACATTCAAGGCCTCAGGATATTTCCACATACGCCATGTTCAGCACCATATCAAAACAACCAGGCGTAGAATAAAACAAAACGGAAACTACAGCAGCAAAAGAAAAAAAGAAGTTATGAAAAGATGCTCAAAACAATGAATCCTCAGGAAAATAAACACACTGAAATCATAACATTGTCCTTTCACATCCTTACCAAAATGTCTTTAATTTAAAATGCTGATGATGCCAGGTGTTGGCTAGAGCTCTGCCTCTCAGAGTGTAAACTGGGGCGAGTATGCTGGAAAAGTATTTAGTGTTATCTACTAAGTTTTAACATACTCACTTCCTGTGCCCCAGTAACTGTATGCCTTGGCTTATCCTTCACACAAATGTGCACATATATGCAGCAAAAAACACAAACACAGATATCCATAGCAACATCGTTCATAATAGCTCCCAAATGGAAACAACTCAAATGTCCATCAAGAGTAGACAAATAGAATTCCATACACCAATGAAAAGGAACACGCTCAAGATGCATACAGCAACATGAGTGTAGCTTTCAAGCATGGCATTCAGTAAAAGAGCCAGAAAGAAAGCTCTATGTATTGGGTGATTCTATTTACATAAAGTTTGAGATGATAAAAACTAACTAGGGCATTAGAGTCCTGGAACAGAGCTCATCTTTTGGAAGCAAGGTGGACAGAATACCAAGAAAGGAGTACTTCTCTTGCATGGGTGGGTTCTATTTCTTGATCATAAAGGTAGCTATACCATTGTGTTTACTTGGTGATAGTTTGTCAAGCTATACGCTTATGACTTGAGTAATTTTTGTATCTGTTTTTATGGTTACAATTTTAAAAATTATCTATTTTTCATTTTTGGCTTCCATAGGTTTTGGAGGAACAGGTGATACTTGATTACACGAGTAAGTTTGTTGGTGGTGATTTGTGAGATTTTGGTGCACCCATCTCTCAAGCAGTATACATTGCACCCAATTTGTAGTCTTTTATCCCTCACCCCCTTCCCACCCTTTCCCTTGAGTCCCCAAAGTCCATTGTGTCTCTTTTTTTTTTTTTTTTTTTTTGAGATGGAGTCTCGCTCTGTTGCCAGTCTGGAGTGCAGTGGCACAATCTACCTCCTGGGTTCAAGTGATTCTCCTGCCTCAGCTTCCCAAGCAGCTGGGACTATAGGTATGTGCCATCATGCCCAGCTAATTTTTTGTATTTTTAGTAGAGACAGGGTTTCGCCATATTGCCCAGGATGGTCTTGATCTCTTTACCTCACGATCTGCCTGCTTTGGCCTCCCAAAGTGCTGGGATTACAGGCATGAGCCACCATGCCCAGCCCATTGTGTCATTTTTATGCCTTTGCATCCTCATAGCTTAGGTCCCACTCATGAGCGTTTCATCCAAAAACACCTTCCAATCAGCCTCCGACTGATTGGATGAGACAAATGTATACATTAGGGAATGCAATCTATTGCACTCAGAGTCCACTGATTTAAGTATTAATCTCATCCAAAAACACCCTCCAAGTTGATACATAAAATTAACCATTGCAACAAACAATGGATTAAAAAATAATGTTGTGGGATGGTGGGCATTGTGAAGCACTGAGTTTTGTGGAATTTGAGATGTACTTCAGCAATAGTACTTCCAAACTGGGTAAATCACAGGGATACCAAGCTTTAGGGCAGCAAGTCAAAATTTACTGGGCTGTTTTACCAAAAGCTAACACCTTTCTAGAGGTGACAAATATTATCAGATTCTTGTTTACCATTTCAGAGCTATTTTATCCATAGACAAGAAGACAATTATTTTCTCCTCTCTTGCACAATGATGGTATACTATATTTGCTATTTTGCATAATGCTTCTTTCTTAACAGTATAAAATAAGAGATAATTTTATATTTCTACCAAATTATAAATAGTTTAAACATTCTTTATAGCTACAAAGTATTTGCAATTTTCATAATTTCTTTAACTACCAACCTAGTCATAAACATTTAGATTATTCTCAGTCTTTTGCTATCACCAAGAATGTTACAATAAATAATCTTCTAGATAATTTATTTCAAATGTGTATGAATTACATCTATTGGGTAAATTCTTAAAAGAAAAAATACTAGGTAAAATGGCACAATATTTGTGACTTTTATGCCATTATGAAATTTTATTTCTAGACGTGAGTCTATTTGCACTCTATTGGTGATGTAAGAGAGTTTCTATTTCCTCTATGTATAGTAAACTCTTTGTTCTTTACCAATATGATTAATAGAATATACTTCCATGAGTTTTAATTTGCATTTCTATTATTATAAATGAGCTTGGGTATGTTTTTGCTTGCATAAGATCTGTTTGTATTTCCTGTCTTTAAACAATCTGATCATAAAAAGTACGCTTTTATCTATTGAGTTGTTGGCATTTCTAATTGATTTGCAGGAACTCTTTATATATTCATGAAAAGAGTCCTTTGTAAAATGGGTCAAAGTGTTTTTTCTAGTTTATCGTTTGTGTTTTGACTATGGCTGTTTTAAGCTTGCAGGTAGCTTTTGTTTTAGGTAGCACAACTCAATCATCTTTACTTTTCATAACTCTTAAGTTTTATATCTCATTGAAAAAGACTTCCTCTTTCCAAGATTACTTAAAAAGTATCTTCATGTAGTTTCTTCTTATAGATTTATTTATGTTTTGCATCTATGTCTTGGATTCACCTGAAACTTATTCTACTCTAAGGCATGAGGTAGGAATTCAAATTTATCTGTGAAGGAAATTCAACATTCTCATGAAACAATTCATGAGAGTACTTATCTTTTTTACAATTGTTAAGTAATTATCATTTGAAAAAATACATAATTTCCAAATACAACTATAAACTTTGTAGCACTTTGAAGGGTACTGGTAGAGAGGTAAACATGTGTATGAGCTATTCTACATCAAGTATTAATTTATGGCATCCTTTTTAACTCGATGCATCCACTCATCCCCATATACATTCTCTTAAGGCCACTATGGATGTGGATGCCACAAATTAACAATCACTGCCACCGCCTCTCTGAGTCACATGGTGCATGATGCTATCTCTTCTCCTGTTCTCCTGTCCTCTAACTTTTCACCAGTATCCTGTCATCTGAGAATATAATTCATGGTGATATAAAAGGCAGCCATCACTGTTATTTTATCTTACATTTAAAATAAGAAGGGGAAAAGGTATTTGAAGCCAGATTATTAAAGAACAGCACAGACCCAGCATCATCATCAAACTTTGAGGAAGGAACTCAATTATAGCCCATTAAAAGACTCAAAGCTCTCTTGAGGTTGGGGCTTATTAACATAACTCAAATTTCGTTCAAGGTGCATTTCTAACTATTTTATTATATATAATCTTATTTTCTCCTTAAAAATATGTGTTTGGTGGTTGAGACTAGACATGGAATCAAGAAGGGCACTTGGTTTTTTTATCTTAGATAAATGAAATGAAGAAAACCATGGAAGTGACTTTGTGGGGAGGGAAACTGAGAGCTCCACCTTGGAATCGCATTCCTGAGATGTCATTAAGTCACATAGATGGAGATGTCAAGAAGAGAATTATGGGCACCTAGACCAGAGAGAGAGGTTCAGGAATCACCAGCATTGAGAGACTATTGAAGGCAACAGGGCTGGACAAAATCACTTGGAAAAAAGCCAAGCTGGGAAAGAGAGGTGGTCCCAAGACCAAACTCTGGGTCTGGTTGGAGGAGAAGCCTGCAAGAGAGACTGGCAAGGTGAGATCCCACTGCTGGGAAACAGAAGGGGGCATTGAGGGCTTGAGAGGGAGGCAGTGAGAGAGGGGCCACTGGTGCTGATGCTGGCTGCAGCCAGAGAACAGGATGCAGATGGAGAATGGCCCACAGGCTCAGGTGAGGGTCTCAGTGATGGTGAGCATGCAGGCCAGATGGGGCTGGAAAGGGATTTGAAGCTGGCAGGGAGAGACAGCAAGTTTAGCCCATTCATTCCAAAATGATTGTGTGATGGGTGGGGAGAGAAGGTGGAATGGACAGGAGGGATCTTTAAGGTAGGTCATTTTGTTTGCAAGATCTTACAGACCATGAAGGCAACAGGATAGGAAGACAGGGCTGCTGGGCGGTGGGAATTGCCCATCTGGGATCTGTGGGTATGACTTTACATAAAAGCCTGAGATGACTTAATCCTCCCATGATCAGCTGTCTGGTCTAAAGAGAGGGAACCTAGTTGGGTTTAACCAGAAATAGAGCTTTTCCAGGTGAGGGGCCAGTCTTTAGTGAGAGGGAGATGCTTCGAAGTATGGGAGATATTATAACCCATCTCAGAGAAGCCAGGGATTTTGAAGGAGAAAGGAAGAGAAGAGATTTAGAAATGTGGACTCATGCTCTCTCTCTCTCTCTCTCTCTGTCTATCTGTCTGTTTTGTAAAGGGGAACAAATCCAAATAAGCTTATGGTCTTATTCTACAAGATTCAAAAGAGTGGCTGACCCAGATGCCTCTTAAGCTTCTACAGTCCACCATACTCGCAGCTTTATTCCTACCCTGCTATGACAGTCTCTCAACCGTGAGTCATACCAAGGGAAGCTTTATCACTAGATGAAGACGAAATGCCAAATTCTGTAACCCACTGACAGTAAAAATTTCAAGCCACCAGTTTTGTAGACAGTACTCTAAGTACATTCTAATTTGGGAAATAGAATAAGATCATCTTACATAAATTTCCCATCCATTCTGTACACCAATTTTTATGTTTGAACTGTGATATACTATTAAAATAAGGAAGGCACTGTGTGGGCGTTGGTGGGAGTACCTTCTGAGATGTTGATATATGAGGTAACTGATCTACCTGATAACCTGCATGCTTTATAAATGAGCTGTTGAACTCTCTGCTAAATTTCAGTCTTAAATCATGATTCAAAGATGCAATTGTGCATTTATTAAAGTGGCGGGAGACAGTGTGATGCACTAGAGCTAGGGACCTACTCACTGAAGGGGGCACAAGAAAAAAAGGAAAAGCTTTCCAAGATATTGGGAAACTTTGAGACTAGAAGCATTGCTTTGAATATGCTTGCTGCTTGCTGTAATTAAAACATTTTAAAGTAGAAAAAAAAGCAGAAAACAAAACAAACCTAGTCATGAGTCTTCTAAGTAACTTTCTATTTATTCTGGTGTCCTCTTCTCCACATCTGCCTAAGAGCTTCAAGTCCTGGATTTTGTCCCTACCCTCCAAATTTTGGGGAGGATATTTTTGAAAGTTTTAGCCAACATTTTCCAAATATTGGTCCAAGGAACATTGTCAGGTTGGCTGCCTCAAAGTCTCTTTAGAAGCTTTGGAAAAATAGCGATTCCAAGGTCCTGTCCCAGAAATTCTGATTCAATGGGTTAAAGACCTCTTAGATGGAGCTCAAGAATCTGCCCTTTGAAATGAATTTGCCCAGCCTATGACGATATGTATCCAGACTGGAAGATCACTACTCTCCATTGTCTAATGGGCAGTGCCACGGGGTAACTTTAAACTACTTACATAATAAAATCTACCAAAAGTAGTAAAGTGAATATAGTAAAATTAGAGATCCTAATTTCTGAATGCTGACGCTTCTCTCAGCTCTAGTATTTCTAGAACAACTGGATCAAAAGCAACTGCTAGGGTGAACTATCATGTCGTCTGAAACCCCTGTTGGAGGCAAAACACTGAATTACATGCAATGAAGTCTCAGTGCACCATTCTTTACAAAGCATGAAGGAACAGCCACCAGCACCGTTTTGTTTTTCAGAGTGATGACGGTACTAGGACAAATTTGTTTTCTGATCTTCAGTGACCCTTGATTCACTGGGCAAGAACAAAAAGCTCACGTAACAGTTTATTACCTGAACCATGTAAAACCCATTTATATATCATGGCCACTTCAACTGTGGTGGTTGATTGTGGTGAAGATTCCAGTAACCATGGGCAATGGCACCACCATTGATAATTAAAAGGCAAACCTTGTCAATGCTGATAGAAACTCTAGTTCAAGGTAGATTCATGTTAAGCATATTTGTGAACAGTTTAGTTATTAATAATTGTTTTATAGAATGTAAGTGGAAAACAATGTATCTAAATCAATACATTACTTTGTATAATAAATAATTTTAAAATATAAATTAGTAACCAAATTCATCAATCAGGGATTCTAAGTATATATTTAAATATATCATCTAAGGCTTTAAAACTTTTTAAAAACTTACATTTTGAAAACCTCATATTTGGAAAAATATAATCTAAAGCTCTTAAAGTTTATATTTTTCTATCTCTCCCAGTGAAAATGAATGGCTGCCTTTATATTAGGGATTGCCTTATATTCAGTTCTGTAAGTTCCATAATAATCATCATTTGCTGCTCCCTAAGTTAATAGGCATCTATCCTCAATTTATTTTGGGGTGTTTTAGGGAGGGCCCTTGTGAAGATACAGTTAGTTGCTTCCCAATATTCCTCCTCTCCTTCTTTTTCTATTTTGTTTGTCTGAGATAGGGTCACTCTATGTTGCCCAGGCTGGTCTTGAACTCCTGGGCTCAAGGGACCTCCTGGCTAAGCCTCCTGAGTCTTCTTCGTTTTTAGTAGTAGAGCTCCTGACTGTCAGAAACGTGCACAGCCACTCGGAGTAGAAGCCACATTTGCAGCCTCCTTTCCAGCCAGGGGTTGCCGGGTGATGAAGTTCCACCCCATGGATGATTGGCAGTGTGGGTGCAGCTTCCAACAACTCCCTTAGATGGAGTGGGCACCCTTTTCTTCCCACTTTCCTGCCAGCTGGTGGAACGTGGGTGCAAGGACAGACAGCCAAGCTGTCATCTTGACCGAGGGGAAGCCCCAAAGTTGGGCACGGCAGAGCCTGGAGATAGAGGGAGACTTACATCAATCTGGAATGGGCCGGGCTCAGTGGCTCATGCCTGTAATCCCAGCTCTTAGGGAGGCAGAAGCGGAAGGATAGCTTGAGCCCAGGAGTTCAATACCTGCCTAGGCAATATAGCAAGGCCCCGTTCTCCACAAATACAAAAAAAAAAAAAAAGACAATCCTGGGATGACTACCTCCACTTCATAGACTTCATAAGAGTAATAAACCCCACCTTATGGAAGCTACTGCCAGTTTGAGTTTTTCTTATTTGCCATCAAACTTAATATTTTTTAAAATTTTATTTTATTTTATTTTAAGCTCCAGGATACATGTGCAGGATGTGCAGATTTGTTACGTACGTAAAAGTGTGCCATAGTGGTTTGCTGCACCTATCAACCCATCACCTGGTATTAAACCTGGCATGCATTAGCTATTAATCCTGATGCTCTGTCTCCTCCCAGCCTCCCAACAGGCCCCAGTGTGTGTGTTGTTCCCCTCCCTGTGTTCTCAATGTTCAGCTCCCACTTATAAGTGAGAACATGCAGTGTTTGGTTTTCTGTCCTGTGTTAGTTTGCTGAGGATAATGGCTTCCAGCTCCATCCATGTCCCTGCAAAGAACATGACCTTGTTCCTTTTTATGGCTGCATAGTATTCCATAGTGTATATGTACCACATTTTCTTCATCCAGTCTATCATTGAGGGGTATTTGGGTTGATTCCATGTCTTTGCTGTAGTGAATAGTGCTGCGATAAACATGTGCATGTGTCTTTATAGTAGAATAATTTATATTCCTTTGAGTATATACCCAGTAATGGGATTGCTGGGTCAAATGGTGTTTCTGCATCAAACCTAATCTTAACTGATTTTGGTCCCTTACAGGTTGATATTTTAGGTGGTGGAAACTTAATCTGGCATCCCTCAAATGATTTTCCTCAACTTTAGCCAAATTAAAAAAAAAAGAGAGAGAGAGACAGTACAAAAAAGAAAAAGAGAAAACTAAGGACAGCTTGCCATCAGGCTGGTAACTGTTTCTCCATTCAATCATTCAGGGCCAGGAATAGGGGAAAGGGTGGTGAGCCAGGTGTCCGGCTGGCAGGGTGGAGAATGGGCTCTTTTGTCACCAAATCCATCTGTAGATAATTAACAGCTGGCTGGAACAGGTAACCAAAGCCAGCCTCTTCAGATAAGGCCAGAGGTGAATTACTTCCACGATGAATGTCATGTCTGTCTGTGGAAGAGCGAGACGGAGTATAGACCCTGATGTGTTTGATGAAAGGCAGTTCGTGGATGTAAAATATGATTGTACACTATTACTCATTGAAATGGTTTGCAGCAAAGACAGATTCTTAGAGGCAACTGGCTATATAGTCTCTTTTTTTTAATAGCATATGTGTCAGCCAAACAGACATATGCCTTAACAGCTTTTAATTATTTCTACTGTTTGCTTACTTCTTTGCATTAAACATGACTTTAGTCTTTTGCATATTCATCTGAAATCTTCATTCCCTCACCCGCAGTAATAACTTCTTTAATAATTGCTGCCAGGTCTGTGGGGATTTTTGTAAAAACAATCAGCCTTTCTTCAAACCAAAACATTCCTATTTACCTTGAAGTTTTTTTTTTTTTTTTTTTCTATTCATAGTTTCTGCTTATCCTTCCTGGCAGGAGGGAAGTTTCGATGGCTCCCGCACGCACTAACTTGTTTGTTAACTCTGCAGTTCAGAGCAACCCTGTTTTACCATGAATCCCCTGGCAGCCTGACAGTTTCACTCACAGGTGTGTCTTGGGGCAAAGTCATCCCCAGTTCCAGGTCTAACTCCATTAATTTCATAGACGATTCTGAAAAGGGTTTATAACATGATATTACTAGGATCGTGTTGGTTTACATTGAATAGAAATAGTGTGTCACAGGAGAAGACAAAAGAGATTTTTTTTTTTTTTTTTTTTTTTTGAGACGGAGTTTCACTCTTGTTTCCCAGGCTGGAGTGCAATGGCAGATCTCGGCTCACTGCAACCTCTGCCTCCTGGGTTCAAGCGATTCTCCTGCCTCAGCCTCTCAAGTAGCTGCGATTACAGGCTTAAGCCACCGCCACCACGCCTAGCTAGTTTTTCGTATTTTTAGTAGAGACAGGGTTTCATCATGTTGGCCAGGCCGGTCTCGAACTCCAGGTGATCCGCCTGCCTCGGCCTCCCAAAGTGTTGGGATTACAGGCGTGAGACACCGTGCCTGGTCCAAAGAGATGTTTTTATGTGGTTCACCTTCGACCTTCATCAGGGTGACTCAGGAGGCACATTCTGAAGCCACTCTCCAACACTTAAGTTTTTTGCCAGGTATTTTTCACAAAGCAACGATTTGAACAATGAAGGAGAAAATGTAGCCTCGCAACTTCATTCGTAAATAATCCAGACTAACCGCACGGAGTATAATGGATCAAAGTGAGCAGAATCGCTCACTTTGGATGAGATCAGCCCTAGAATGAAAGCAAAACCGAGATGATGGACGGCGCAGGCTCCTTGGAGATCCGTGTTCATGACACCTGCAAGGACTGTGGGCAAGCTGCCAACCAGACATGAAATTAGCAATTAGTTGCATATTCTTCCGAGTGGGTCATGTGCTCCTTGCAATCCAGGCACATCTCTTTCCATCTGGCAGGGGTGTGGCGTATTTCCAGAGGGCTTCAATGCGCAATCCGGCAGCGCACTGCTGGGAGCCCCGGCACAGGACGCCTGACCACACTGACATACACATATTCGCGTCCGTCTTTCCCTCTCTCCACTCCTCCTGCCCTGCCTGCTCCCATCATTCCGACCTCTGATCATTTCTGTTCTCCAGACAAGCAGGATGAGCAGGAAAGAGCCCGGGCCTCTGAGTCAGAGGATGCCAGTCCAAACCAGGGCTGTCTGATGAAATGCAGATGCCCAGTTAGAGTGTCATTCCAGGTAGACATCAATTTTTATTTTAGTAGTAGTGTGTCCCAGTGATTAATTATTTCTTGTGTATTTGATGTTTCAGTTTAATGAGCATCCTGCATATTTGTTTAATATGGTTAAATTTGGCAAACTTGGTCTAAATTTAATTTCTGTCATGAATTTAGACAAGTCATTTAACATTGGAGGTTCTCAGTTTCTTGACTGCCGAGACGGGGTGAGTTGCTGAGAAGGGAAAGGGATAAGCGGTAGGATTATTTCCCAATGTCTGGCGCTCTGTTCACCAATTCAATACCTATTGTTCTATTAACAGATTCTTGCTGAAAATCTCCAGCATGCCAGCCAATGTGATCCATACAAGCCAACATCAAAGATGAATAAGAGGTATTCCTCAGGAAGTAATACCTTTATAGAAGTTTATAGCATTTTACCTTTATGGTAATCCTATGATTCAATAGTTATAATTTCTGCTTTATTCATGAGAAAAATGCAACATAGGGAATTAATCGCAAAAGTAGTAAGGGGAATGGACAGGAATGTATTTCCACAGCCAACCGTTTCTTACAATGCAGCCTCCAAAGTCTCTCAAATGACAAGGCAGAATGGAGTGTGAGCACTAAACGTACTAGGCGCCTGTGACTGGTAGACTTCCGTGCTTACTCTGTCATCATCTTTTTGCACATTTTAAGGCCTTCCTGAGTCCCAGAAGAGCAAGTGGAGTTGTGGCTAAGGCGAGCTATTGTACCATGGTGAGTTGGACATCGCTGTTTTCTCGTGGGAGCCGTTTCGAGAGAGCTCTCTGTAATGTCGCCGTGTCCTTCGCCTGCATACAAAATGCAAACACAAGACGTGTCATTAATGAGACAACCCAGATTTCTTATTCTTTCTCTGACCTTCCCCCTGCAATCCTCCTTCGATGGGATGCGGGCAACTTTCTGAAGGACTGAAACCCGGGGGAGAGGGGAGGATGTTTACTGAGCACATTACTTAGAACAAAAATAGCTGAAAGCTTCATGATATCTTTTTAGGTTATGTCAAAATGTCCCTGGGGTCAAAATACTGGTACCAAAAGAGTCACATGAAAATGTCATGCCCAGATGGAGCGACGGTTCATGCTTCATCATAAACGTTTGCCTTAGAATGCAGAGTTTTCCACTCTATTTATTTTTCCAAATTCCTTTGGCCACTCCTCCCAGCAACACTAAGTTCTTTTGAAAACAAGAACTAGAATTCCCCCCTATGAAGTCTATAAAACCTGCAAAGGGTTTAGAGATATGCTGGAAAAAAATGGAATACAAAAGGCTCAATACTTAAGTAATTTTATGACTTCCTTCTTTCCTGAAGAGCAGTCAATAATGCAACTCCTTGTGTGTAATATTGTAAGTTCCCACCATCCACACTTAGATAAGTATCAGGACCTAGCTCAACTCATTTATTTTGTCTCTCCATCAATATCGTGAGTGCATAAAAATATGGTTCTTGTCAGTGCAAAGTAGATGCATTCAGCAAGAGTGGGGTGGGTCCTTCCTCCAACAAGACTACGAGAGTAGAGGGAGTTTGCCGAGTAGCTGGCTGCTGCCTGGGTGGAGGAAACCAGGGGTGGAGAGTCGCCCTTTTCTATCTTTTCCATCCCTGGGGTTCACAGACCCTGTTCTTCTGTGGGTGTCCACAGGTCCAGAGGTGCAACCCTGCAGTGGGATGTCATAGGATGTGACCTTGGGCCTTGTGGGGAGACTCTGCCAGTCTGTGACAGGGATGTTCCCTCTGTGACCCCCTATTCCAAGGGCGTCTCTCTTCCTTTGTCTCCTTCATCCCCTTTGGAACATCTCCTAGGACCTAGGGTTCCTCTGGAGTCTGATGGCCCACTCCACGATGACACCCCAGCCGGGCCAGCCTCCTCCCCTTGTGCCCACATCCCACCACCATGGGTACCTGCCTTGAGCTGTAATCCCTGGAACCAAGTCTCCCTATTTTACAAAGTCTCAGACAACCATCCAATGCTTAAGGTCTTTTTTTTCATTTTGTAATTTTTTTTAGCTTAATTTGATTTTAAGTTCCAGGATTCATGTGCAGGACGTGCACGTTTGTCACATAGGTAAACCTGTGCCATTAAAAAGTGGGCAAAGGACATGAACAGACACTTCTCAAAAGAAGACACGCGGCCAACAAACATATGAAAAAAAGCTCAACATCACTGATCATTAGAGAAATGCAAATCTTAAGGTTTTTAATGATGGGAAAAGTCTTGATGTGTCTCATCCAAAGTGCGCTTGCTTTAGACCAAGAGACCTGCCTTGGAGATGATCGGCTCAGTAGACTGAATCTCCAGTAGAAGTGGGAGATTCTTGCTTGAGCTCTTATTATGTACTTAGCAGATGAAAAACACTTAATTGAATTTAACAACAGTCTTCTCATGTGGGCATTATGTGACAATTTTTATAAAAGGAAATTGAGGCTTAGAGTTGTTAAGTGACCACTGTCCCAGATCACACAGCATGTGAGTGACAGTGAAGAGATTTAATCGAAAGCTATCTGACTCCAAAGTTCCCAACCACAGGAGCTATTTAGACGGTGATTCACTCCACTCACACAGGCCCTCAGGTATACCTGGGGGACGGTGCCTGTTGTCACCACAATTGGTAATTATCCTATCTCCTGCTATAGACGTTTAATTTCCTTGGACTAGAGCAAATCCTTCTACCCACCAGATGTTATTGCTACACACTCTCAAAGGGAAAGAGAACAGCTAGACTCATTGAGAAAAAAAAAGACCAGCAGGTCCTTACAAAATCACATGTTTATAAGGAAACGACTTTTGAAAAAGGTGTGAACTCAGATAAGCAAATTTAAAGTAACCAATTAAGATGGAGAAATCTTCAAAGAACCTTCTACAGTTGATATACAGGCCTTGAAAAAGAATCCTGAAATCAAAAGTATCACCCAGGAACACTGAGGAACACCAGTTTTGACCAAGCTACCCCCTTAGTGGTTCCTAATCGCCCACAGAATTGAGTCCAAATTCCCCAGCATGGAGTGGAAGGCCCATCTCAAAGTGGCTCAAATCTGCCCATCCAACCGCACACACATCATGCACCGACCTGAGGTGCCTGGACTCTATCTTCTTTAGTTTTATTTTTTGTATATTTGCTGTTTTAAATATTTAGTAGTTATTAATGATAACATGAATTTCCACAAGCTTTAGTGACTCTGGTTGGAAATCTCTTCCTAAACTGTGTATGATGAGCAAAGCCGCGCACGTTAAGATCCAAATGAATGCCGGCCACCTCTGTGTGCTATAGGATTCTGTGAGTCCTGGTCTTCACTGATGAGAGTCACCTGCTGCAACCTTTGCTAAGCACCTCCTCTGTGCTGTGCATTGTACTCAACTTATCTCATTTTAATTTTATAAAATCATGTCTCCAGAACATACTATTATCCTTAATTTATAAATCTGAAATTGAGACTTAGGAGAAAAAAAGTTTAATTTTCCCATAGTTATATCATAAGTGAATTCCAAACCAAGGTTTAACTCAAGTAGCTTTGAGTCTGAATCCTAAAATCAACCAAAACAATGAATGATATTCTCAAACAAAGATGTCCTCTAATTTGGCTAAGTCTGCAGCTATAATTTTAGAATAGAAGTCTTTTTTCTAATATATGTTTAAGGTAACCAAGGGAAATTCCAGGTCCAGTTTACCTCTTTTTCTTGCATGGGACCTTTCCTCCTAGGTTATAACGTGGCCAAATTAAAAAAAAAAAAAAGGAACCAGCTGGAGCTCTGGTTCCCAAGATGCGATTCCCAACCTGCAGCCCCCCCGCCCCCCGCCCCCCGTCTTCTGAGAACTTGCTAGACCTGCACATTTCCGGTCCTCACCACAGACCCCCAGAATCAGAACCCTGGAGTGAGGCCCAGAATCTGTCTAAATCAGCCTTCCTAGTGAATCTCATGTGTGCTCAAGTTTAAGAATAGCTGAGCTGGAGGAGGAAGAGCAGGGTCGTCTGCAGTGTGCAGGTCAGTCACCACCTTTGCATACCTGGGAGCATCCGAGACCACGGTTCCCAAACCAGGCTGCACGTTAGAACTGCCTGGGCAGCGTGGGAATCCATCCACCTGGCATTGGGATTAAAGGGAGCCACTTGGCACGGGGAGTTTGAGTGATTCTGCTGTTGGGGATCCTCTGATTGGAAAGAAGAAGCAGCACGTCCGTCATTACCGGGAACTGCAGAGCAGCCTTCAGTAATCGGAGATAATCCATTAGCTTAAGCAGATTCAGATTTGTGTGTGTGTGTGTGTGTGTGTGTGTGTGAGGGCAGCCTACAATTCTTCTGGAGGACATCCCTGACTCCAGGGCCAGGCTGACCTCTAACCAGTCTGTGGGCTCCTAGATAGACCTCTCCGTCTCTCAGACTTGCACTGTAGTTTGCCAAGTGAGATAGCAAAACTATGTTAGTGCAAAGTGAACTTTTCAAGGTTTAATGTTTTAAAATCTGAACTGTGCCTAGGACATATAACAATTTGTTGAACGATTGGTGGATTTAACCCAGTTGATGTGCCAGGCAGGTATTTGTCTTGGTCCCAATGGCATCCCATAAAGTGATTAAACAAGAAATCCTGGGAATTTTTGTCCATAGACTGGTATGGTTTATAAATTCTTAGGAAGAAAACTGGTTGGCAATAAAAATAGCTATGTATTGAGTGGCAATATGTGCTAAAGACTTGGTATAATTTATCTCAATTTTTTTAATAACCCTACTAAGCATAGAGAAATTAATTTGCCAAAGTTGCAAAGCCAGTAAGAGACAATAATGTGTATTTGTATCTGCCCAACGTTTTTTTCCCTCTTAGTCTACTAATGTTTAGGGACTTATCTCTCCTACTCCTCTAGGGCTTCTGATTCAAATTGCACCCCATCACCATCCCAACCGCATGGGTGAGCACATGATCAAGGATTGGCCAATCATGGGTCCCTTCTGGCCATGCTGATTGGCTCAGAGATGGGCAAATGACCTTGATCCAGCCAATCAGATGCCTTCCTTGGGATTTTATATAGGGCCACTGACAAAGGTACTTTCTCTCTTTCTTCTGGAGTTCTCGAGCTGAGATTAAACAAATCCGCATCTGTCTGCAACCCAACCCTCCTCTCAATGCCTACCATTAGCTCATCTACATCTGCCTCAAGGGAGAATAAAATCACAGGGAAACAAGAGAGAGGAAAGGAAGAAGCCCTGTACTCCCTTTTTCCAAAATTGCCAGGCCAGCTCCATTCCTGGCCTTCTCCGTTCCATATGATTCATTCCCTTTTTCCACAAAGCTAGCCTGAGTTGGATTTCTGTCACTTCCAAACAGTGTACTGGCTAGATCATGGAACTCGTATTTCAACCTCTGTCTTTCCCTCTGACTCAGCTCATAAGCACAGCTCTGTGATGAGAAGAGGAGGTACACATCAGTGCCATTGTTGCTGGTGGGGTTTCTCCCTCATGTCTCCAATTTCAGACCCAGGCCTCACCAAGGCACACTCAGGCATTGCCCAGTAGGTGACAATCTGACCTGAATCTTCAGTCCTATTGGGCCTTGTGCAGGAAGGACGATGGCTTGCCTGCCATTTGACCTGGCAGACAAATATTCACAGGGATTGCTGTCCACTTGTTAGATGAGTATGCTTCAACCCTGTCTTATGATCTCACCCCAGCTCAAAAAATCTTCCAAGATTTTCCATTACTTATAAAAACGTGGCCAGGCATGGTTGCTCATGACTGTAATCCCAGCACTTTGGGAGGCCGAGGTGGGCAGATCACTTGAGGTCAGTAGTTCAAGATCAGCTTGGCAACATGGGAAACCCCATCTCTACTAAAAATACAAAAATTAGCTGGGCGTGGTGGCTCATGCCTGTAATTCCAGCTACTCGGGAGGCTGAGGTGAGAGAATCGCTTGAACCCGGGAGGTGGAGATTGCAGTGAGCCGAGATCACAACACTGCACCACAGCCTGGGTGACAGGGCAAGACTCCATCTCAAAAAAAAAAAAAGTATACAAAGTTATAATTTTCCCTCCTGTCATTAAACAGAAGTCTTTTTTCGTATTCATCAAAGACTAAAAGGATTTGCTCCTGAGAATTACTGTACCTGACCAAACACACACACGCATGCACACACATGTAACTTAATAACAGTAAAATCAGATTGAAGTGAATATCCACAGCAGCCTTAAATTAGGAAAAACTAACACCGCGGCATCCTGAAGTCTGTCTGTGAACAGGGAGAGGTAAGAGACGAGAAGGAAAAGACCTTTGCTGTTTACTAACCATTTTCTGAATACGAGTCAAAATTGTAATATGAAAACTCCCTCCTACTGAGGTTTCCCCCCAAAGCAGGTAACGTATGTGCATCTCTGCTGCTTCTCACACTGAAGCCGAGGTCAAGCAGTGCCTCCCAGACTGTTGTGTGCACCTACATCATCTGGGCAGATGTTGAAATGTAGGTTTCTGATAAAACACACCTGAGAGCGAGCCCAGGAATCTGCCTTCCTAAAGAAGCATGGTGGGAGACTTGGATGCATGCAGCCCTCTGAATATCTGTAAAGGTCCAGGGTTCCAGTGATTGTCTTGATTCCTGGTCCTCTATTGAGGCTGCATTTTGTGTTCTGTTCTTTTCCTTCCATGCAATGGTGGGTTGTTTCAGGTTAACCCAAGACATTTGTCTTCCTTTACTTTTATTTCCCTGTCTAACACTTTGCACATTATATTAATTAAAGAATTTTTTTTTTTGAGATGGAGTTTTGCTCTGTCACCAGGCTGGAGTGCAGTGGCGCGATCTCGACTCACTGCAATCTCCGCCTCCCGCGTTCAAGTGATTCTCCTGCCCCAGCCTCCCGAATAGCTGGGACTACAGGGGCCCGCCACCATGCCTGGCTAATTTTTGTATTTTTAGTAGAGACGGGGTTTCACCATGTTGGCCAGGATGGTCTCAATCTCTCGACCTCGTGTTCCGCCTCCCTTGGCCCCCCAAAGTGCTGGGATTACAGGCGTGAGCCACCGTGCCCGGCCACTTCTAGATTTTATATTTCCCCAACCTCATCCCTAATTTTTATTTTGAAAAAAAAGAAAATGCGACTACTGAACAAGCTAATAAGTCATAGTTGGGCTAAATTACTTCCCACATGGGATTTACTAATCCATCTGGAAGGTTTGGACACAGAAACAGAGACCCCTTCAGGATTCTGTTACGTAGAACGAGGTGTGTACGACTTTGCTTTCCATTGGCATCAACAGGTGCTTATTTGAATGATGAAGAAGCCGCCCTCCTGGTTATTACTGAGAATGGTGGTTAATTCTGGAAGAACAGGAAAGAATTGACAGAGAGAAGCAACCTCCTAAAATCAGGTCCTATGGCGTAGTTCTGTCATCACTCGTATCAGATCTATGTCTTAGTTTATTGTCATTAGATAACCACAAGAGATTCACAGTTATCCCTCCTTAATATTAGGAAACAAACTTGTTATAACCTACTGTCAGGGCTCTCTTGATTGTTAGCCTAGTTGACCTACATTTCCCTACTTCAAATTTTGGCACTGTTTTTATCAAAGTGTATATGTCAAGTGACAAACAGTCTTTGCAAATGCAAAGTATGCAGCTTTAGGAGCCAAAGTTTTCTGTAGATTTCTAGTTACTTCTCTAGGGTGTTTGTCTAAAATACGTTCAGAAAAAAAAATTATTTCTGAGTTAGGAAGCAGAATTTCTGATCCTGACGAGATGGTACTTCCTTGAGGTCTGGCTACCGCCTGGACTCTTTCTTGTTTCCTGGGTATTCCCAGCATTTAGCACAGTGCCCAATGCTTACTGGAAAGGGGTTTCGATCCAGACCCCAAGAGAGGGTTCCTGGATCTTGCGCAAGAAAGAGTATGAGGTGAATCCATAGAGTAAAGTGAAAGCAGGTTTATTAAGAAAGTAAAGGAGGCCGGTCGCAGTGGCTCACACCTGTAATCCCAACACTTTTGGAGGCTGAGGTGGGCGGATTGCTTGAGTTAAAGACCAGCCTGGCCAACATGATGAAACCCCGTCTCTACTAAAAATACAAAAATTAGCTGGGTATAGTGGCGGGTACCTGTAATCCCTGCTACTCGGGAGGCTGAGGCAGGAGAATCGCTTGAACCCAGGAGGTGGAGGTTGCAGCGAGCCGAGATCGCTCCACTGTTCTCTAGTCTGGGCGACAAGAGTGAGACTCTGTCTCAAAAAAAATAAAAAATAAATTTAAAAAGAAGTAAAGGAATAAAGAATGACTACTCCATAGGCAGAGCAGCAGCATGGGCCATTCAGCTGCTTATATTTATTGTGACTTCTTGGTTATATGCTGAACGAGGGGTGGATTATTCAAGAGTTTTCTGGGAAAGGGGTGGCCAATTTCCGGAACTGAGGGTTTCTCCCGTTTTTAGACCATATAACAGTAACTTTGTGGTGTTGCCATGGCATTTGTAAGTTGTTGTGGTGCTGGTGGGAGTGTCTTGTAGCATGCTAATGTATTCTAATTAGTGTAAAATGAGCAGTGAAGAAGACCAGAGGTAACTTTTATGGCCGTCTTGGTTTTGGTGGGTTTTAGCTTCTTTACCACAACTTGTTTTTCCAGTAAGGTCTTCATGACCTGTCTCTCGTGCCGACCTCCTATCTCATCCTGTGACTTAGAACGCCTAACCTCCTGGGAAAGCAGCCCAGTAGGTCTCGCCTTGTTTTACCTAGCCCCTATTCAAGATGGAGTCCCTCTGGTTCAAACACCTCTGACACAACAAGCAGCTGATATAACTATGTAGTTATTGAATAAGTCCCAAATAGTTTCATATTATTAATATGAACATAATAATAGGAATAAATCCTAAATTGTTCCTCTACTTAGCAAGAACAAAAGAGAAAGTCCTACTCTCTTTCAAAGAGAAGATAAACAGTCAACATAAAGCAGAAAACATGGAACATTTTCACAGTTCTCAACCAAAACAATAGAAGCTGGGAGATGATAGAAATGTACCTTCAAGGCCCTGAAGGAAATTGATCCCTAACCTGGAATTCTATGCTCAGCCCAACTATTAATTAAGAATGCGATTAGAATAAACATATATTTAGACATACAAGCTCTCAGTAGTTACCCCCAAAGAATCTTTCCTTGGTAAGTTCTGAAGGGTGTAGTTCTCCAAAAGAAGGATGCATGGATCAAAAACAGAGTTCCAACACCACATGGGAGTAG